>NC_000023.11:88523148-88826178 GCF_000001405.40 Homo sapiens
ATATAAATTGTTTTATTATAAAGACACAAGCATGTGTATGTTCATTGCAGTACTATTCACAATCGCAAAGACATGGAATCAACCTAAGTGCCCATTAATAATAGGCTGGATAAAGAAAATGTGGTACATATATACCATGGAATACTATGCAGCCATAAAAATGAATGAGATCATGTATTTTGCAGGAACATGGATGGAGCTGGAAGCCATTATACTTACCAAGCTAATGCAGGAACAGAAAACCAAATATCACATGTTCTCACTTATCAGTCAAAGCTACATGATGAGAACATATGGACACATGGAGAGGAACTACACACACTAGGGCCCATTGGATGGTACAGGGTGGTATGAGGGAGAAGATCAGGAAAAATAACTAATGGGCTCTAGGCTTAATACCTGGGTGATGAAATAATTTGTACAATAAACCCCCATGACACAAGTTTACCTATGTAACACACCTGTGCATGTATCACTGAACTAAAACGTTTTTTAAAAAGACACATAAAGAGAATTACACTTACATGAACATTGGTTGTACACAGTCTCCTAGGTAAACATTTTAATTTCTTTCAAGCATCATGTGGCTTTCCTGCTTATGCATGGTAGCTGCCTACCCTCCTAAGAAGTTGAACAGCCGGGGTACCAGTATATTCACTGTGGCTCTCTTCAGAAACTGAATCAGTTACAGGTACTGCCATATTTGAAATAACAACTTTTGGATTTAAAACAGGGAATCTGGACCTCTGAAACCAAGTAAAAGCCAAGGAGTCAGTAACCAAATTAGTTTCTGCCAGGAAAAGGAGAGATTAATGATAGAGGGATTATTTTAGTTAATTATTTAGAAGTAGGCCTTCCTGCACGCAATCCACCACACTTCGGGAGTCAGGTTACCTAGAACTGATATTCATGGGAGTCCCCATTTGTCTTCTTGGGATGTATGAGCTGCTAGGTAACTTGAAACATTTTTAGCTGTATACACAAGGATAAGCTGACATCGGTTGATATAGATAACCTAATTATTCCCTAATTTACAGCTGAATTTCTGCCTTTATTTGTCTCAAAATTGAAAATTTAATATAGTCCAGTAAGAGTAATGGGCCTTATTGAACACTTTTGCTAGTCCTGTTCTTAACATTTTCACAATAATATTTTTAAATAAGGAAATTTTAGTCATTCACATAAGCTTTTTCTCTATAAGTCATTCTTTGAAAACCTCCATGATACACAATTCCTATTAGGGTGAATTACAGTTAATCTGCCCAAGACAGCACCGCAACCCTGATTTGGCAAGTACTAAATTTTACAAACTAAGCTGTGAGATACTGTTATGTCACCTGTCTATATATTTTTTTAACTAGACTACACACTAGTAGCCTTAATAATTAAATTATAAATGCAAAGTATGTATTGATCTGAAATAGCATTTAGAAATAGCATTTATCTATGATTAGGACTTAACATGGATTTTGTAAGGGCTCGCATATATATGAGAGTAACATTGTAAAAGATAAAATTATTTGAACAAGACAATTTAAATGCAGTTTAATGTTACCTTTCTATGAGACAAAGCAGAGTAAACAATTTAAAACATGAACACTTCCTACTTTCCAGATATTTTATGTTTCTCCTAATAGAGTATACATACGGGTAAATTATTTTTTCTTATTTCCTCTGGCAATACTCTCACATTTTACAGACATAAGCTTGAGTTAATTTTGATGTTTAAGAAAACATCCTGTATGATAATTACTATGAAATAGGAGGTTTCTTTCACTTTCTCTTATGTTACATCATATAAGCCTATCCCAGAACATTATTGGGATTAACATGTGTCTTACATTGTGATTTTAATTCATATTGCATTATGAATATGACTAATATTATTATATTAGTCAGGTCACTGCTATTTTCTTTTAATCTATTATTTTAAATAATTTTATTTACCTCAGACTTAAACAATGATTGTGCATTAGTTTTTTTAAAGATAATTGATACATAATAATGGTATATATTTATGGAGTATAATATGATGTCTTGATATATGTATACAAAGTGAAATAACGAAATCTGAAAGAGTTGAACTCATATAAGTAGAGTGTAGAATGGTGCTTACCAGAGGCTAGAGGTTGAGGAAAAGTGGATGGGGGAAAGGCGAAATACTGGCCAAAGGGTACTAAGTTTCTGTTAGACATAGATATAAGTTTTAGTAATCTACTGCAGAACATAATGACCATAGTTAAAAATAATATATAGTTCAAATTTGCTAAGAGTGGTTTTTACATGTTCTCAATACAAAAATAAGTATGCATGGCAATGGCTATGCTAATTTACTTTATTTAATAATTCCACCTTATTTATTAGTTTTTCATTTCTGCATAAGGAGTTACCAAAAATTTACCAACTTAAAACAACACACACACATACTAAATCACAGTTTCTGTGAGTCAGGAGTCAAGGCACAATTTTGTTGTGTCTTCTGCAAGGCTGCAATGAATATGTTGGCTACGATTGGGTTCTCAGCTAAATGCTCAACTACAGATGGATCCACTCCCAAAGTCACTCAGGTTATTTTCTTGAGATTGTAGGACAGGAGGCTTGTAGTTTGTTGCTTGATGTGCATGAGGTAGGGTGCTTCTGTCAGTTCTGAGAGGTTGCCTGCAGATTCTTGCTATGAGTCTCTCTCCATAGGCCCTTTTACAATATGGCAGCTTACATTTTCAAAGCCCAGAAAGGAGAAAGATAGAAAGATAGAGAGTTATATACCATGAAATAACCATAGGAGTGACAGTCCATCACTGTTTGTATTTTATTGCTCAGAAGCAAGTGACAGGTCTCACACTTATGGAAAGAACATTACTCAATGGCATAGATACCATGAGGTGGGGATTATGGCAGTCACTATGGGGACTAACCACCAGAGACTGATTTTTTCCTTTGGTAGTGCTTTTTCTATGGCTTCACCCACTTTCAGAGGTATTTTGCCTTGGAATCCTAATTTGATAAATTTTCCATCAATATAGTTAATTAATTAAATCCTGAACAGTTGCTTCTAATAGTTGCCTATTGCAATTGTAATGAACAAAGCCATTTTGACAAAAAATAATCCTCAACTGGAAATTTTCACCAAATTTCAAACAAAATACTTACAGAAAAGGTAAAGGATTATAGAGATAATTTTAAAAATAAAAGACTAGTTATGTAATAAACTGTGAATGATAAAAAATGCTTAAATAAAAGGGTTAAACAAAATTTAAGCTTGAAATCAAAAATGAAATACAAGATTTCATCAAATGAGTTTCTTTAACATCACAACAATTAAGAATAAATAATGAAAGCTAAAACCATTAATAATTTAACTGATAAGCACATGTTTACTTTATAATGTGTAAAGACAGTCTTTCACTCCCAGCCCATGCACAAATGTTGACAACACATTAGTCATTACATAAGTGACTATGCACTGCAAACATCACTAATCTGAAATGCTGTGCAAACATACATGTTTTAAAATTCAAATTGGTGTATTTTGTTTATTCTCTCTGTTACAGATGTAATATATTGTAGCTTTATCCTCTTAGCTCCATTATACAAGCGAGAAAAATATTTTTTTTCTGCCTTACACACTCACACATCTGATGGCATGTTGCAAAGACACATATCCTTTATCTGTTTTGGTGTTGCTTTTGTTCTGAGGCAGGTTCAAATAATGCCAAACAGAAGTGACATTTGTAGAATACTTATTTGATAATAAAAATAGTGGAATTAAACTTGAACCACAAGTAATGTTTACAAACAACCCTGAAGTTGTAATTTTTCATTCATTATCCGTGCTTGTTATTTTTTTAAAAAAGAATGAAAGTACTACTGAACAATTGATAAATAGACTAATAGGGATTCTGAGACACAAAGCATAGTGGAGAAGAATAAACCCCTCAATACATTGTAATCTTCAAATTACATTTTTTTTTTGGTTAGGAATGAAATCACCAGATTGTGCTTTTTCCACTTAATGTGAAAAGACATTTCACAATATGTTACTTATCTTAGTTAAAGAAATGTTGGCAATGTTCTACAAATATTGTGTCTGTTATAATTTAAAAAGACATGCCAGAATGCAATGTAAGAAAGTTTCATATATTTATCTAAGAGAAGTTCAAATCCAAACTTCAACTGAAGATGAGAAAATCCCTTATCAGTCTTAAAGACTTTAGTTCACATAGCTTCTAGAGCTTGATAAGAAACTGAATATGCTTTCTATTTTTTGGATCCTTTTAAATGGTATATATTTAACAATACCCAGCTGCTCCTACTCAAGTCTCATTTAACCTTCTGTCTGTCTGAAGACCAGTAGATTTTAAAGGAAAAACTAAGACTTTAAAATTGAACCTCCTGGGGTAGTCTAAAGCCATGTACCAGATGATTAGTGTAGAAAATGGCTCAATTTATAAGTGTGCAACTCTAAGTCCTATTTAGCTTGTATAATGAATTATAAAAATAACGAGTTTGAATTGTTTCACTTATTTAGCCTTTTCCCTCAAAATGAAATGTTACAATGAAAACAATTAAATGGGGAAAAATGATGCCATCATAATTATTGGCCTTAAGTGAAGACTGCTTATTATTTGTACCAATACCTCTAGTTCTCCTAGGAAAAAATGTGAGGTCAATATTTTGGTTCACATTTTAAAGCTCGAATGGAAGATTCAGATAACCAATAAATGGAGCATGAAAAGAAAGGACAAATGCTAAATTAGAAAAATTCTTTATGTAGACTGCTATTTCCATTCATGTCCAAATAAAAATAAATTACCTTCAGCATGAATCAATCTAAATTGTCAACTGAATTCTGAACTAAGATGATTTCTCTACAGATAATAAGCATATTATATATATTTACACAATTTACAACAGGTAAATATAAACATTATGTTAAAAAGAGTTTCATTTCACTGGGAAAAGAAACATATTTATTTAAGCTTATATACAATAAGAACTTTTTTCATGTTTATGTAACAAAATTGTAGATTTCCCAACTTAAGTATGCATGGCATACATATATATGTGTATATATATATATATATATACACACACACATATATATGTATATATGTGTGTACACATATATGTACAAACACATATACATAGATAAATATCTATGTATCTATACTTTTGTCTACAAAAGTATACTCTACTCAACATATGTAAAGTATACTTAAAGATTATAAATAGCTCAAAAGAAATACAATTCCTCACTCTAAAATCCAAAACAAAAAGAATCACCAATATTTCAAACAACAAAGCCATAAATGTATTTCAGACATTGTATGTCTGTATACATATATGTATTTCAGACATTGTATGTCTGTATACATATATGTATTTCATAAATATCTATGTATATATACATATATAAATATCTATGTATATATATACATATAGAAATATCTATGTATATATATACATGTATATCATGAATATATATACACACAAATAAGTATACTTGTATATGTGCATATGTCTACCAATAGTATGCATTTATGTAATTGTAAAATATGAAGAATTACTAAAAAGAAATAATTGTTACTTTGTTACAAAGCTTACATACCAGGTGCATATGCATCAACCTTATGAAATATATTACAAACCTCACGATTTTAAGTGCTTTTGTTACTGAAACACCAGGGGTTCAATCTAAGTCTTTCTGCTCACCACATACAAAACCAATCACTGAGACAATTAGTGCCAAGAAAGAAGACTTTAATCAGGTGCTGCAGCCAAAGAGCTGGGAGATCAGTCTCAATTCCATCTACCTGAACAACTAAAACTAGGGATTTATATACCCCTAGTTTTAGTTCTACCCTATGGAAGAAATATAATGATGTTTAAGAAAACAGGAACTAGTGAGGGGCAAGGAAGTAATCATGGTGAATGAAGGGTCTGGCATCTCATTGTCTGGATGTGGTAATCTGGTGAGTTTCAGTTCTTTGATACATTCCCAGGAGGCCTGGGAATCCTTTCCTGAGGAAGGAACTCAGATAAAACAAATGTAAGTTTCAAACTTTAAGACCAGAAGGGTCAATTTCTATGATTATAAAAAAAAATCTATCTATGGGACTAGTGGATATGTTTCAGATCCCTCTTTCTATTTATCAGTTCCTCACTTATGGGGAATCTTGTCATCAATCTTTCTGCCTGCTTCATGCTGAGGAGGAGCATCATGGGCAGCTCCATACTATAGGTGACCTCATGGCCACCTGGGAATCAAAGGTTAATCTAATACCATAATTTTTTTCTGAAACACAATATTTTTCCCTCCATCCCCCAACTTCCACCAAAGACAAATCACAGCAGAACCAATATACCTACAAAATTCGCTTTAGTCCAATATACATGGCCTGATTACCCACACAAAGTGTAACAGGGATCATTATCCATATAGGCTATCCTAAATTGGCTTTGCTAGAACCACTCACAAGGCCATTTCAGTCAAAGCCCTGAGAAAATAACCAATTCCTCCAACTGTGTCTCATTATGAAAGAAAACATTTTTGTTAACTATATGCAAAAAAGCCACATTGCCATGAATTAAGAATATTCACAAATAGATTACAAATTCTGGAGAAATTAGGCAGACAGAGAAATGTGCCTCGAATTTTGTTTACAAAAGTATACTCAGTATTTGTAAAGTATACTTAAAGACTATAAATAGCTCAAAAGAAATAAAATTCCTCAGACTCTAAAATCCAAAAGAAAAAGAACCACCAATATTTCAAACAAAGCCATAAATGTATTTCAGACCTTCATTAGTTTAGCCCATGTGATAAACTTCTGCTCTGCCTTATATTGGGTTAGCAATCTTTCTGAGCACATCAGCCTTTCAATTAGTGCCTTGGAAGTTTTCTCTCTAATCCAATGGCACAGTCTCCAAACTTACCAGAAACCTGCATTCAAGAGTCCTTTTCATGAACTTCCCCAAAGAAACAAGTTCTGGACTGTAGCTGGTGATAAGTCCCTTTTTGAGAAGGATCAAAGCAAACAACAATTGTGGGTGACAAAAGTCTTAAGACATCCATAGTTAAAGACACAGTTGACAAAGAAATTTGATTATTTCTGTGTCATGCAAGTTAACATAATACTCTTGTTACTGATAATGTATATTAAGACATATCAGAATTTTAGGAATCTCATACAATCCTGGAACACATATTAACAACACATCAATATGAATACAACCCAAAGGAAGCTAAACACTACCTCAGAGTGATAATGCTTCCTGCATAATTCTAACATAACAAATAAACCTATTAAATTTAATATGTCTCCCTTGAACTTCAGTGAATCTAATATCTAAAAAAATTAGTTTGAGATCAAAAAGCCTGAATTTAGAAGTTGAAATTTCACTCTTGGGAGGTTTTCCAAATATCAAAGTTTTAAGACACGTGATATAACAAAATAGGATCACAGGTAACTATAAAATAGGCATTCATTTGGCAAAAGGGATAAAACAAAAAATGTTTACCTTTTGATAGAAAGGAGACTCAATTTCTCAAACAATAAGACCTAATAAAGATAGCATGACACCAACTAAATCTGTCTCTCCCCGCCTCCATTTTTTTCCCCTGTAGTTTGTTCTAAAGGTAAACAAAATATTTTCTCTTCTTAATATTACACAAACAATGAGAACACATGGACACAGGAAGGGGAACATCACACTCTGGGGACTGTTGTGGGGTGGGGGGAGGGGGGAGGGATAGCATTAGGAGATATACCTAATGCTAAATGACGAGTTAATGGGTGCAGCACACCAGCATGGCACATGTATACATATGTAACTAACCTGCACGTTGTGCACATGTACCCTGAAACTTAAAGTATAATAATAAAAAAATAAATAAATAAATAAACTAGATGATGAGGACAAAAAAAAATTACACAAACATTTTGTCTAAAAGAGAAAACCAAAATTTTACCTTTGTATGGGGTATTGTTAATGTTAAAGTGAATTTTAATAAAACCTCGTAAACAAATCTGTTTTATAATTTTTATCAGTTTGACCATAATGTAAAATTTTCATAAACTTTTTTTTTTTTTTTTTGAGACAGAGTCTCACTTTCTCACCGAGGCTGGAGTGAAGTGCTGTGATCTTCACTCACTGCAACCTCTGCCTCCCGGGTTAAAGCGGTTCTCATGTCTCAACCTCCAGAGTAGCTGGGATTACAGGCGTACGCCAACACACCCGGCTAATTGTTTTTGTATTTTTAGTAGAAATGGGGTTTCACCATGTTGGCAAGGCTGGTCTCGAACTCCTGGCCTCAAGTGATCCGCCCACCTCAGCCTCCCAAAGTGCTGGGATTATAGACGTGAACCACCATACCCAGCCTCATAAACTTTTTATAACCTTTTGCAATTTTTTATGAAAATGCACATCAATGCTCCAAAAACAAAACCCTGTCATTCTGACACAAGGGCTCAGACACTGGCCTTGCATCAGTGTGCTGTTGATATTAATGCTTAATATGTAAACACAATGAACTAATCGCTTCTAACAATCTCATGTACCCCCTCTTCTGTGATAGTCCCTGGGTCTAGAATAATTAAATAGTTTCAGTTTCTAGGCTTGTGTCTCACAAAAGCAGTTCATTTTGATTGTCACCTTCTCTAGCGTCTGAAAACGGGATTTGACAGGTGTAAATGCACAAAATTTATCAAGGGTTGCTGCTTTCTTCAGACCCAGGATTCAAAGCCCTGTAACTTAATAGTACAAGGATTAGTTAATAATAGGATATTTATACTACAGAAAGTCCTATCGTACTGTCTTACATGTTACAAATTAAAACAATGTGATTTGGTGTTTAGGAGTTAATGCCTGCAGCCCTTCAAACCACTGTATCATATTAGTTAGGTTATTCTTTGCATATGTCTAATTGCTAGTATTCTAGTGATAGAACTGTGACCAAAAGCATCAAAAAGTGATGGGTTCTATGCCAAACTTATGGAGGAAAGACACCTAACTTTTCTCTCCATCAAAAAAAGGTAAATACAAATATCAGTTTAGAAAACTCAACATGAGAATAAATATCTTTCACTTAAATATTATACAATAAAACAGGAATGGGCCAGGCGCAGCGGCTCACACCTGTAATCCCAGCACTTTTGGAGGCCGAGGCAGGTGGATTGCCTGAGCTCAGGAGTTCGGGACCAGCCTGGGCAACACAGTGAAACCCCGTCTCTACTAAAATACAAAAAATCAGCCAGGCTTGGTGGTGTGCACCTGTTGTCCCAGCTAGTTGGGAGGCTGAGGCAGGAGAATTGCTTGCACCCAGGAGGTAGAGGTTGCAGCGACCGAGATTGCGCCAGTGACTCCAGCCTGGGTGACAGAGCAAGACATTGTCTAAAAAAAAAAAAAAAAAAAAAAAAAAAACACAAGCAAAGTAAGAACAAGCACACAGTAATTTTTTTCAGCTATTTAAAAGAGCATCATCACACATTTCCAAGACTTGTTTCTGGATACATTACTGACAACTTATTAGATAACTTTCACCACTAAAATCTTCAGGCCAGTACAACACTTGTACATATTTTTTTTTCAAGTACGCACATGATTGCCCATCAATGAAAACTGGTTTTGAAGTCAGTGAGACCAAGAACCCACCAATTCCAGACACAGCTTGGGATCAAAAATCACTAGAAAGTCTCATATTTTATTACCACTTAATCTAAGTAATGTTACTTAATTTTAATAATGGTAAACACAACTAAAGTAGTTTGAGAAAAATCTCAATATAATTTCCTTAAGGACAAAGCTAATCTTTTCTGAACACTAAACCTTTATATCCATATCACAGTTTTTTTCTTTTATTAAAGTAAGAGGAAATCAACTCAAATTATTGATTTCAATGAACTATCTTGGAAATAAACACTATTTAAACATATCTAATCTCATCTTCTTTTTCAAATAACAAAATGTATAATGTATTGTTTCTGTTCAGAACATATAAAAATAAGTCTTTTATTTTTTGTTTTTTTGGCCAGTAAGTATAAAGCTCTTGTAGCTCTCTAGATCATCAGAGGTAAGTAAAAGCAACCAAATTTTAAGTGGCTGGCGTGTTCTATCAATTTTTGCAGGCTTTGCAAATGTAGCTTAGGAATATAAGATGAATTCAACAAATGATGTCTTGTTAGAAATGCATAGAAATCAAAATGACTATTCATGGAACCAAAGAAAAGCCTTCCATTAGAAATTAAAAAACATAAATAATCTTATCAAGTAAAGCCCAAAGGAGAACAAACAACAAATAAAATCAAAAAATTAGAAACAAAAACAGGAAATAAACAGAAAAGCAATCCCTAAATTATCTCCTATGTAGTGTATCTTGGAGGTTGAAGTGATACCCACAGAGAAAAAAAAATCACGTGGTAAATATTTTACTCCCGATACACAATTTAACATCTTTAAGTTCCCCAACACTACTACATAGTTTGTGCAATTAAGATGCAATTAAGAAATTCACTTTAGGTGCATGACCAGTAAGTACCCTAGTGGTCATACTATCTATGCAGAATCTCAAATACAGTGTGAAGCAATACAAAAATGCATGTGAAATTTGGCTCTGTGCTAAATCTGGCTTCATGCTTAGCTATATTTTTAGAAACTGCCAAACTGCCAATGTATTTTTACATTACTTATTATTTTGCCTTCATCAAGAGTAAGGGCATTAGGTATGAGCAGTTAATTAGCCAAATTTCTCAACTTTTCTATTAGGTCTAAAAAATATTTTATTATCTAAACTTTTTCAATTTCCTATTTTCTCTGTATGTACCTGAAGACAGACACACAGAGAAACAGGAAAAACTACATATGATTTACACAGACCATCTACAATATGCTTAGACTTTGTTTCATCCCAGATTTATTTTTAATAAACAGTCATTTTACCTTAGGACAAAAATTCACCATACAAGATCTTTTCTCGTATAAATTATTCTCTTCTTTATAACCCTCCTTACCAAAAATACACCTTCATGTTCATAACTTTCTTCAAATCTGTCTCACTTACTTACTGGGTCCTTACTACCATGTTTCATAAATAACACTTTTAAGTTCATAATTTGAATTAACTTTTTGATAACTTCTGAATTAGACAAATGCTTTCTTTCTCTCACTAAAAACACATCTTTCGGTATATATATATATATGTATATATTCATTTTTTAATTATACTTTAAGTTCTAGGGTCATTGTGCACAACGTGCAGGTTTGTTACATATGTATACATGTGCCATGTTGGTGTGCTGCACCCATTCACTCATCATTTACATTAGGTATATCTCCTAATGCAATCCCTCCCCCTCCCCCCACCCCACGACAGGCCCCGGTGTGTGATGTTCCCCACCCTGTGTCCAAGTGTTCTCACTGTTCAATTCCCAGCTATGAGTGAGAACATGTGGTGTTTGGTTTTCTGTCATTGCGATAGTTTGCTCAGAATGATGGTTTCCAGCTTCATCCATGTCCCTACAAAGGACATGAACTCATCCTTTTTTATGGCTGCATTGTATTCCACGGTGTATATGTGCCACATTTTCTTAATCCAGTCTATCACTGATGGATATTTGGGTTGGTTCCAAATCTTTGCTATTGTGAGTAGTGTCACAATAAACACACGTGTGCATGTGTCTTTATAGCAGCATGATTTATAATCCTTTGGGTATATACCCAGCAATGGGATGGCTGGGTCAAATGGTATTTCTAGTTCTAGATCCTTGAGGAATTGCCACACTGTCTTCCACAATGGTTGAACTAGTTTCCAGTCCCATCAACAGTGTAAAAGTGTTCCTATTTCTCCACATCCTCTCCAACACCTGTTGTTTCCTGACTTTTTAATGATCGCCATTCTAACTGGTGTGAGATGGTATCTCACTGTGGTTTTGATTTGCATTTCTCTGATGGCCAGTGATGATGAGCATGTTTTCACGTCACTGTTGGCTGCATAAATGTCTTCTTGTGAGAAGTGTCTGTTCATATCCTTCGCCCAATTTTTGATGGGGTTGTTTGATTTTTTCTTGTAAATTTGTTTAAGTTCTTTGTAGATTCTGGATATTAGCCCTTTGTCAAATGGGTAGATTACAAAAATTTTCTCTCATTCTGTAGGTTGCCTGTTCACTCTGATGGTAGAGCTTTTGCTGTGCAGAAGCTCTTTAGTTTAATTAGATCCCATTTGTCAGTTTTGACTTTTGTTGCCATTGCTTTTGGTGTTTTAGACATGAAGTCCTTGCCCATGCCTATGTCCTGAATGGTAATGCCTAGGTTTTCTTCTAGGGTTTTTATGGTTTTAGGTCTAACATTTAAGTCTTTAATCCATCTTGAATTAAATTTTGTATAAGGTGTAAGGAAGGGATCCAGTTTCAGCTTTCTACATATGGCTAGCCAGTTTTCCCAGCACCATTTATTAAATAGGGAATCCTTTCCCTATTTCTTGTTTTTGTCAGGTTTGTCAAAGATCAGATGGTTGTAGATGTGTGGTATTATTTCTGAGGGCTCTGTTCTGTTCCATTGATCTATATCTCTGTTTTTGTACCAGTACCATGCTGTTTTGGTTTCTGTAGCCTTGTAGTATAGTTTGAAGTCAGGTAGGGTGATGCCTCCAGCTTTGTTCTTTTGGCTTAGGATTGTCTTGGCAATGCAGGCTGTTTTTTGGTTCCATATGAACTTTAAAGTAGTTTTTTCCAGTTCTGTGAAGAAAGTCATTGGTAGCTTGATGGGGATGGCATTGCATCTATAAATTACCTTGGGCAGTATGGCCATTTTCACGATACTGATTCTTCCTATCCATGAGCATGGAATGTTCTTCCATTCGTTTGTGTCCTCTTTTATTTCATTGAGCAGTGGTTTGTAATTCTCCTTGAAGAGTTCCTTCACATCCCTTATAAGTTGGATTCCTAGGTATTTTATTCTATTTGAAGCAATTGTGAATGGGAGTTCACTCATGATTTGGCTCTCTGTTTGTCTGTTATTGTTGTATAAGAATGCTTGTGATTTTTGCACATTGATTTTGTATCCTGAGACTTTGTTGAAGTTGCCTATCAGCTTAAGGAGATTTTGGGCCGAGACGATGGGGTTTTCTAAATATACAATCATGTCATCTGCAAACAGGGACAATTTGACTTCCTCTTTTCCTAATTGAATACCCTTTATTTCTTTCTCCTGCCTGATTGCCCTGGCCGGAACTTCCAACACTATGTTGAATAGGAGTGGTGAGAGAGGGCATCCCTGTCTTGTGCCAGTTTTCAAAGGGAATGCTTCCAGTTTTTGTCCATTCAGTATGATATTTGCTGTGGGTTTGTTATAAATAGCTCTTATTATTTTGAGATACGTCCCATCAATACCTAATTTATTGAGAGTTTTAAGCATGAAGGGCTGTTGAATTTTGTTGAAGGCCTTTTCTGCAAGTATTGAGATAATCATGTGGTTTTTGTCCTTGGTTCTGTTTATATGCTGGATTATGTTTATTGATTTGCATATGTTGAACCAGCCTTGCATACCAGGGATGCAGCCCACTTGATCATGGTGAATAAGCTTTTTGATGTGCAGCTGGATTAGGTTTGCCAGTGTTTTAATGAGGATTTTTGCATCGATGTTCATCAGGGATATTGGTCTAAAATTCTCTTTTTTTGTTGTGTCTTTGCCAGGCTTTGGTATCAGGATGATGCTGGCCTCATAAAATGAGTTAGGGAGGGTTCCCTCTTTTTCTATTGATTGGAATAGTTTCAGAAGGAATGGTACCAGCTCTTCTCTGTGCCTCTGGTAGAATTCAACTGTGAATCTGTCTGGTCCTGGACTTTTTTTGGTTGGTAGGCTATTAATTATTGCCTCAATTTCAGAGCCTGTTATTGGTCTATGCAGGAATTCGACTTCTTCTTGGTTTAGTCTTGTGAGGGTGTGTGTGTCGAGGAATTTATCCATTTCTCCTAGATTTTCTAGTTTATTTGCATAGAAGTGTTTATAGGATTCTCTGATGGTAGTTTGTATCTCTGTGGGATTGGTGGTGATATCCCTTTTATCATTTTTTATTGCATCTATTTGATTCTTCTCTCTTTTCTTCTTTGTTAGTCTTGCTAGCGATCTATCAATTTTGTTGATCTTTTCAAAAAACTAGCTCCTGGATTCATTGATTTTCTGAAGGGTTTTTTGTGTCTCTATCTCCTTCAGTTCTACTCTGATCTTAGTTATTTCTTGCCTTCTGCTAGCTTTTGAACGTGTTTGCTCTTGCTTCTCTGGTTCTTTTAATTGTGACGTTAGGGTGTCAATTTTAGATCTTTCCTGCTTTCTCTTGTGGGCATTTAGTGCTATAAATTTCCCTCTACACACTGCTTTAAATGTGTCCCAGAGATTCTGGTATGTTGTGTCCTTGTTCTCATTGGTTTCAAAGAATATCTTTATTTCTGCCTTCGTTTCATTATGTACCCAGTAGTCATTCAGGAGCAGGTTGTTCAGTTTCCATGTAGTGGAGCAGTTTTGAGTGAGTTTCTTAATCCTGAGTTCTAGTTTGATTGCACTGTGGTCTGAGAGACAGTTTGTTATAATTTCTGTTCTTTTACATTTGCTGAGGAGTGTTTTACTTCCAACTATGTGGTCAATTTTCGAATAAGTGCGATGTAGTGCTAAGAAGAATGTATATTCTGTTGATTTGGGGTGGAGAGCTCTGTTCATGTCTGTTAGGTCCACTTGGTGCAGAGCTGAGTTCAATTCCTGGATATCTTGTTAACTTTCTGTCTCATGGATCTGTCTAATATTGACAATGGGGTGTTAAAGTCTCCCATTATTATTGTGTGGGAGTCTAAGTCTCTTTGTAGGTCTCTAAGGACTTGCTTTATGAATCTGGGTGCTCCTATATTGGGTACACATATATATAGGATAGTTGGCTCTTCTTGTATTTTGGTATATTTTATACAGACTTATATGTTAACTATAATTTTTATCCTTAGTAACCTTAAATTTTAGTCAAATCCTAAGAAGCAAGAAATACTGAAATATCCAGAAGGTTTTAACCAGGTGCCATAGCTGAGAAGATGGGAGATCAGTCTCAAATCTATCTCCCTGACCAACTAAAACTAGTGGTTTATATACCATAGAAGAAATGTTGCAATGTTTAAGAAAACAGGAACTAGGGAGGGGCAAGGAAGCAATCATATTGAATGAGGGGTCTGGCATTTCATAGTTTGGATGTGGTGATCTGATGATCTTCAGTTCTTTGATACTTTTTTCTTCAGAGGCCTGGGGATCCTTTCCTGAAGAAGGAACTCAGATAAAACAGTTTTGGCCGGGCGCAGTGGTTCATGCCTGTAATCCCAGCACTTTGGGAGGCCGAGGCAGGCGGATCATGAGGTCAGGAGATGGAGACCATCCTGGCTAACACGGTGAAACCCCGTATCTACTAAAAAATACAAAAAATTAGCCGGGCGTGGTGGCGGGCGCCTGTAGTCCCAGCTACTCAGGAGGCTGAGGCAGGAGAATGGCATGAACCCAGGAGGCGGAGCTTGCAGTGAGCAGAGATGTGCCACTGCACTCCAGCCTGGGTGACAGAGAGAGACTCCGTCTCAAAAAAAAAAAAAAAAGTTTTAAGATCCGAAGAGTTAATTTATGTGTTCAGAAAACAAACAAACAAAAACATTAATCTATGGTACTATTGAGTCAGTTTCACTTACCATGATGGTCTCCGAAGATTGAATAAACATCTGGCATGAAAGGATGAGGTACAGAGTCACAAATCAGGTCCCTTACCACTCATTGTACATTTGCAAGCATATACGAGATCTTAAAACTAATGTGGCATATCATACAGATCATAAAGAGAAAAATTAGGTATCAGAAATTACGTGAACTTAATGGTCCAAATTATCATTTAATGTTTAGCATTTTATATAAATTATTTTGAGAATTACTAATATGGTAAGTAGGCAATAAAGAATGTTCTCCTTCATGGTAGAGAAAGTTTATAAGAAATATATTCCCCCAAATTATCAAGCTGTGTCCCTTTCGCACTTCTATCAAAAACAGCACATTGACGTACCCCAGCTAAAACTGCTCAGAAGTAAAACGAACAAACAAAACATGTGCTTGAACTCTGTTATCTTTACTTGTGTCAGCTCCAGTTTAAGAGCTACTTAAATTGTACATAAGAAAAATAATTGTATCTAAACATTCTTCTTCATAATATAGATTAGAATTTTTTTAAACTAAACTTGAAAACCTTTTATCCAAATTTTTATTCCTGCAGGATTAGAAATCTAGAGCGTGCTTAAAATTAAAATATCTAATTTAAGTATATATTTGATATTGTGTATAATAATTTTTATGTTTCTCTTAATTCTTTGTAAGAAAGTTTATAAGGTATTCTGAAATACGTGGCTAACATTTAGTTCATTATTCATGCATTTGCTTTAAATCAAATAGATATGCCTCAACCTAAAATTACCATAAATGATTATCATTTACTTATAATAAGCTGAGTCTAGTCATTAGAACATATAAATTTCTTAGACCTGAGAAGCTATTTAATAGATGGTTTACATGCTCATCCAGGTTTGCGTCCTAAAAATCCTACACCATTCAATGTGAAAATTGATGCATATTATAAAGTGTTGTCAGTCTATTATTAGATATTTAGTAAGTTCACAAATTGTGGAATCTAGAGCAAGGAACAATATTTCTCTGTGTTTCAGCTTTTGAGGTACATTAATGCTGTCTATCTTTAACATTATAAGTAACAAAATATAAATCCAATGGGGAATAAATAATGGACAATAATAACATTAGGAAGACCTAACTACATTTCTATCAAGACTCTTCAACAGTAATTATACTGACATCTTTATATAATTGTATAACAATTAGATTAATGTGTATAAAAAGGCATGCCATTAATAAAGATATAATTAGATTTGAAATTCCACTTCACAGAGTTTAAATTCAGTCTTATTAAAAGCTTGAAATCAAGAGATAAATATTGGGTTCTATAACATTTGCATTCATAAAATGAAGTACTATTATCAGTTCCATGTTCTCAATAAGTATATTAGTAATTTTGCTTGTTGGAAGGGTAAAAGCTACCAAGATTATAGTCTGTCAACATTGTAAATGAATATTCATGTACCTACAATGTACCCTGTGACTAAATTTAAATTAATGATTCAATTAACTCTAGATTTAAAATGTTATTTGTTAATATACGCATACAAATATTTTTATTTGTTTGTTTCTGCATATATCAGCTTGAATGATGTGCGCTGAGACTTAAAATGACAGCTGTGTAATTAGGAGTTTCGTGCTATATATATCAAACATTCCAAAAAAAAGATGGTAGTAATTCACGATTATACTTTAAGAAACTTGAAGATACTCAATGTTCTGTTCTAGCCTTTTTATAGAAGACAATTTGCAATACATATTTAAAGAAATTTTATTAAGTAGTGTAAAAATGGATCCTGAAAACAGATTATTTTTATTATATAAGCTAAGCTTCAAAATACAAACATCAAAACAGACTATAACTTTTAAAATAATATTTAATGTAATCTTTGACTTTTTCCCAAGATTTGTGAATCAATGAATTTTTCTATTTGCATTTATATTGTAATATCTACCTGTAGACAGTCTCAAAAGACTTCAACTTTGCTCAGTAAAATCACTGAATTGGAGCCACTTATGGCGTATACTCATTTCTGAATTACAAAGTAGGTATTGAAGTAAGTAGAGACTAATATGCACTTTGTAGGAAATTTGCACACGAGAAAATTACTTGACTTTTTTTCTAAATTTGAATATTGTGTTGAGTGAATATGTAAAAAGGACTAAGCAGCACAGACAGGTGTTGTACAAATGAAAACTCTACTTTGAACAAAGCATGAGCTTTTTCATTTCTGAAATATTTATTGTATTACTATGATGAGTCTCTCGAAAGTAAAACCCTTTTGCAATTTATCTAATTTTTGTTTTAGGGAGTATTTGTTCATTTTAATGTTTTAGAGGGTTACAGTTTTTATTTGGATTAAACTATGAAGTAAAATAGAGAAACATAAATTTGAATTATTTGAATTTGTGGATCAATATATTTAAAATGTATGAGATTATAGGTATGATTCTGTCAGATTTCTGATTTTCAAAGGAGAGCAGATTGCAAAAATGGTAATTCTAATTAGGGAGATAAACTATGAATTAATTTTATAAAAAATAAAAATCAAACTGGTAATAGCAAATTAAGTAACCTCCCCCGAGCACACCTACAAAAGCTGAGATATATACCTCTGTATCTATCATCTATCTATCTATCTATCTATCTATCTATCTATCTAATCTGTCATCTATCTATCTATCTCTATTTATCAATCTATTGATCTGTCTATCTGGATGCTCAGTGAGGTGAGCCTAATGTTGTCACAGTCTTCTTGGAACTGAACCTAATCGAGGAGGCAACATCCCAACTCTTTTGCCATATTCTAATGATTACAAGTGAATCACCAGTTCTAGCTAAAACTCAAGGGGAGACAATTACACGAGGGCATTCCACAAAGGGCAGGGGTCAGAGTAGACCATTTTAGAGACTCTGCCGCAGTGGCCCCGGTGAACACAATTCATTTGCTTTCAGACTCAAAAGTGCTGATTTCCATGTTGAAAAGTGAATAAAAAGTAGGAAGCCTCCCAGAAAATTTATACTAGTTTTAGACCAATTCAATTCTTTAATTGGATTAAAGCTATCCAGGAGTGCTAATGTTTGCAGTGTCTCTTAGGTCTAGTGATCTCTGGAAGCTGATAAAAGAAAAAGTATATTCTATCTGTTTAGTATGAGGTAGATCACATCAGACTAAACATCAAATTGGTTTTTCAAACAACTTTGCAAGTGAAAGATGCAGCATGCAGTAAGAAATGACCAGACATATGAGCATATGAGATGCAAAGATATTGATGAAAATCAACAGAACAAATTAGATAATGGAGATAGAACTATAAGAGTTCTAAATTTTAAAATTATAAGGCACAGATTATATATATACATATATACAGTATAAAATAATGTAAAATATACACTGTATGTATTTTATACATATATACTGTAATATATACATATACGTATTATAAACATATATACATACAATCTGTAAAATATAATACACTATATGTATTATATACCTATATACTGATATATATGAATGTATGTATTATATACTTATATACATAAACTACATATATTACATGTTATATTACATACATATATAAATATATACTGTATATATTACATATATACATACTGTATGTATATAATGATTTATGCAATATATTATTCATGTAGATATACACTAGATATATATGATAGGTATATATTTGTGTATGTATATTAAAAACTCATATATACTGTGATGTATATTATATATATACATCCACACAGACAAACACATATATATACACATGTGATTAATTAAAAAAATAGAAAAACTACCACTACTACTACTGCAATGTTTCGGGAAGCACAGTTAAGAAGTAAAATTATAAGCAAAAGCAAATAAATGATTGCCATGAAAGGCACCATACTGGTTATCTTTGCAGGGAAAGAAGACGGTAGTGATTTAAAACTAGTGTGAGGGAAGCTTTTGGGAGCTGTCAATGTTCTAATTCTCGACACGCTTGGTGGGACACTGGTGTTTACATTATACATAAATTATGGACCTCTGAACATTTGTTCTGTGCATTATTATATGTGTATGTTATATTTCATAATGAGAAAGTTTTTAAAGGGAAGGATATGATAATTGCCCTGATTTGATCATTATACTATGTATACATGCATTAGCATATCACATTGTACCCAAAAAATATGTACAAATATTATGTGTCAAGATTATAAATTTAAAAATTAAATAAATAAAAAGGAAATTGTTTAAAAAAGAAAGAAGACAGGTATAAAAATAAAGCTTGCTTTATGGTTGTTAAAGTGATTGAGGAGAAGGAATAAAGAGACTTATAAATACCACTTTTGCTACTTAAGAATTCTCATTTGTGAGATTTTTTGTCATGAAAGGCTATTGAATTTTATCAAATGATTTTCCTGCATCTATTAAGATAATCATGTAATTTTTCTTCATTCTCTTAATGCAATGTTTTGCATCAATGCATCTGCATATGTTGAACAATGCTTTTATCCCGGGAGTAAACTCTACTTGGTCATGGAGTATGATCCTTTTCATGTGCTGTTGAATTCAGTTTGCTAGGGTTTTGTTGAGGATATTTTTATAGGAATTGATCAGGGATACTGAGCTATAGTTTACTTCCCTAGTAATATCTTTATTTGGCTTTGACATCAGTGTAATCCTGGTCTCATGAAATGAGTATGGAAGTGCTCTTTGCTTTTCAATTTTTTGAAAGAATTTGAGAAGGATTGGTGTTAATTATCCTTTAAATGTGCAGTAGAATAAATCAGTGTATCCATCTGGTCCTGGGCTTTTCTTTGTTGGGAGGTTTTTGATTACTAATTCAATAAACTTCTGTTATTGGTCTGTTCACATTTTCTATTTCTTCATGATTCAGTCTTAGAAGGTTATATGTTTTTAAGAACTTATCCATTTCTTCTACTTTACTAATTTGTTGGCAAATAATTATTCGTCATACTCTCTTATAATTCTTTTCATTTCTGTGGCTTTAGTTCTAATGTCCCCTCATTCATTTATAATACTTTTTGAGTCGTCTCTTTGTTTTTGTTTTTAATAACTAGCCTAGCTAACAGTTTGTCAATTTTATCTGTAAAATGGGACCATATAAGATCCTGATTGTCCAAAGAAATCTTTAGAAAGAACAAAGCTTAAGACACCATACTTTCTGATTTTAAAATGTATTACAGAGCTACAGTGATTTAAACTGCACAATATTGGTATAAAAAAAACTTACAGTATAGTTGAAAAATAAATAGAAAGCCCAGAAATAAACCCATGAATACTGTATACAGTTAACTGATCTTTAACAAGTTTGTCAATAATACTGAATAAAGAAAGGACAATCTATTCAAGTAATGGTGCTGGAAATCCACATGCAAGAAGAATGAAATTGGACCCTTTTTCTTCACACCACACACACATACACACACCACACGTGCACACACACATCAAACTCAAAATAGATTAAAGTTTGAAATATAAGACCTGAGAATGTAAAACTCCTAGGGACAACGTGTTATGACATTGGTCTTGACACTAATTTCTTGGATATGCAATCAAAAGCACAAGAAACAAGCAGAAGTAGACAAGTGTACATACATCCATCTAAAAGGCTTCTGCACAACAAAAGAAACAATTGACTGAATGAAAAGGCAACCTATATTTGCAAATCATATATCTGATAAGTGGATAATATGTAATGTATATAAGGAACTCCTAAAAGTCAATAACAAAAATATTTTGATTAAGAAATAGATCAAAGACTTAATAGGCACCTTGCCAAAAAAGATATACAGATGAAAATCAGCATATAAAAAGATGCTCCACATTATATGTCATCAGGGAAATGCAAATTTATAAAAACAAAGAAATACCACCACACAACTATGAGAATGGCCAAAATCAAGAACACAGACAACACATAATATTGGTGAGAATGTGGAGTAACAGAAACTATCATTCATTATTGTGAAAATGCAAACTAGTACAGCCACTTTTGAAGACAGTTTTGTAGAATCTTACAAAACTAAATATAATTTTACCTTGTGATGCAGCAATCTCTGTCCTGTGTGCATGCTCAACTTCCAAAGGAGCTGAAAACTTAAGTCCACAAAAAGTCCTGCACACAGATATTTACAGCAGCTTTATTCATAATTTCCAAAACTTGGAAGCAACCAATATGTCCTACAGTAGGCAAATAAATAAATAATCTGTGGTACATCCAGACAATAGAATATTATTAAGTACTAAAACAAAATGAGATATCAAGCCATAAGAAGACACAGAGGGAACTGAAATTCATATTACTGGGTGAAAGAAGACAATTTAAAAAGGCTACATACTACATGATTTTAATTATATAACTTCTGAAAAAGTCAAAATCTAGAGTCAATACAAATTTTTGTAGTTGTCAGTGTTGGGGCAAGGGAAGGATGAATAGGCAGAGCACAAAGAATGTTTAAACCCTTAAAAATACTCTGAATGACATTATAATGGTGTACATATGTCATAATTTTGTCTAAAACTACAAAATATATAAGACCAAGAGTGAAAGAATGTAATTGATGGACTCTTGGTAATATCATGTGTCAATGTAGCTCCTCAATTGTAAAAAATTGACCACCCTGGTGGGGCATATTGATGATTGGGGAGGTTGTGCATGTGTGGTGACAGAGTTGTATAGGATATCTTTGTCCCTTCTTCTCAATTTTGTTGTGAACTTAAAACTCTGAAAATATTGTCTTTTTAAAAAATGGACAGAAACTTGAACAGACATTTTTCCAAAGAAGACATACAAATGGTGAACAGGCATACAGAAAGATACACAGCATCACTAACCATCAGGAAAATGCAAATCAAAATCACAATGAGATATTCTCAGGCATGTTAGAATGACTGTTATAAAAAAATCAAAGGATAAAAGTTTTGGTAGGCTTGTGGATAAATTAGAACGCTTCCTTCCTTGTACACTGTGGCTGGGAATGTAAAATGGTGCAGCCACTTTGGAAAATGTTATAGAGATTCCTCAAAAAATTAAAAATAGAACTATCATATGATCCAGCAAAATCATTTCTGAGTATATTTCTAAAATAATCATAGTTAGAACACCTAAAAGTTATCTGTACTCCTATGTTTATTGCAGTGGTATTTACAGCAGCCAAGGTATGGAAACAAACTTAATGTTCATCAACAGATGAATAGGTTAAAAAATGTGGTATATACATATAATGGAATATTATTCAGTCTTAAAAAATGAGGAAATTTTGCTACATGTGACATTGTGCATAAACCTGGAGGACATTATGCTAAATGAAATTAACCAGATCCCTTGTGATCAACCCTCATCAACCTCTTCCCCTTCTCGTTTCTGGCAATAGTTGATCTGCTTTCTGAAACTATAGTTTTGCCTTTTCAGGAATTTCAAAAAATGAAATGACATAATATGCATTTTAAGTGTTTCATTTATTTAGGCTTTTTAACTAATTCACATTGTTCCATGTATGAATTTTTTGTTCCTTTTTTTTTTCTTGCTGAGTAATGTACCACTTCATGGACATGCCACAAATTAGTTATCTATTTTCTACATCATTTTCATTTGGGTTAGTTTCAGGTTCAGGCTATTATGAATAAAGCCATCAGGAACATTTGAGCATTTGAGTATATGCCTTTTGAAGGGCATATATTATTATGTCTTTTTTTTTTTTTTTTTTTTTTTTTTTTGAGATGGAGTCTCACTCTTTCACCAGGCTGGAATGCAGTGTTGCGATCTCGGCTCACTGCAACCTCCGACTCCCTGGTTCAATTGATTCTCCTGCCTCAGCCTCCCGAGTAGCTGGGATAACAGGCGTGTGCCACCACACCCAGCTAATTTTTGTATTTTTGGTAGAGATGGGGTTTCACCATACGGGCCAGGATGGTCTCGATCTCCTGACCTCGTAATCTGTCTGCCTTGGTCTCCCAAAGTGCTGGGATTACAGGCGTGAGCCACTGCAACCGACCATATTATCATTTCTATCAGGTAAATTCCTAGGAGCAAAATTTTAGGGTAATACGTTAAGTGGATGCTTAACTTAGTAAGAAACTGCCAAGTTCTGTTGAAAGGGTCTATGTCATTTTGCATTGTGAAGAGCAATATATGAGATTTCGAATTGCTCCATATCCTGTTTAATACTTAGAATTGTCAGTTATTTTAATTAGAATCACTTGTGTGTGTGTGTGTGTGTGTGTGTGTGTGTGTGTGTAAGCATTATATTTTTGGTTTAATTTCCTTGTACATTATGACAAATAATGTGAGCATCTTGTCATATGCTTATTTGCCATTCATGTCTGTTCGGCAACATGTTTAATTAAATATATTGCCCATTTTTAAATTAGATTGTTTCATTTGCTATTACCTAGTTGTAATTGTGCTTTATATACTCTGGATACAAATATTGGCTAGAAGTGTTGTGAATAATTACTTTCAGTCTAAACACCTTGGCTTTTCATTATCTTTCTCTTCTTTTGATTTTAAATTCTTTGAAATTATGGTGATGTTTAACTTACAATTTTTTTACGTTTCATGTTTGTTTGTGTGCATGTGTGTTTGTGTTGTGGAAAAGAAATAGTTGCCTATCCTAAGATAGAAAATCTTCTTTTTTCTTATGTTTTCTTCCACAGTTTACATAGTTTTAAGTTTTAAATTTAGGTACAGACATATCTCAAATTATTTTTGGGAATGGTGTTGATGTAAAGTTTATGTTTTTTTTTCCATGTGGCTATCAAGTTGATGTAACACCATTTTTTGAAAACATATTCTATTTCCCTTTTAAGTACCCAGATACATTTATTTAAAATTAATTAATAATATATGAGTAGATCTATTTCTAGACTATCTCTTTCCATTTATTTATGTATTTATCCTTCTACTAAAATGACATATGGGATATTGCATTTTTATTTTTACTTTTAGAGAAGGAGTCCCACTATGGTGCCCAGGATATACTCATCTCAGCCTCCTGAGCTTCTGGAACTACAAGCATGTGTAACCACACATGGGTGATTATTGTACCTTTAAATAAATTTTGAAATTAGGCAAAGTAAGTTCTTCAACTTTGTCATTTTTCAAATAATTTTAGTAAATTGTAACTGTTTTGCTTTTTATAATCAAACTATACTACAAGGCTACAGTAACCAAAACAGCATGGTACTGGTACAAAAACAGATATACAGACCAATGGAACAGAACAGAGCCCTCAGAAATAATGCTGCATATCTACAACTATTTGATCTTTGATAAACCTGACAAAAACAAGCAATGGGGAAAGGATTCCCTATTTAATAAATGGCACTGGGAAAACTGGCTAGCCATATGTAGAAAGCTGAAACTGGATCCCTTCCTTACACCTTATACAAAAATTAATTCAAGATGGATTAAAGACTTACATGTTAGACCTAAAACCATAAAAACCCTAGAAGAAAACCTAGGCATTACCATTCAGGACATAGGCATGGGCAAGGACTTCATGACTAAAACACCCAAAGCAATGGCAACAAAAGCCAGAATTGACAAATGGCATCTAATTAAACTAAAAAGCTTCTGCACAGCAAAAGAAACCACCATCAGAGTGAACAGGCAACCTACAGAATGGGAGAAAATTTTTGCAACCTACTCATCTGACAAAGGGCTAATATCCAGAATCTACAAAGAACTCAAAACAAATTTACAAGAAAAAAACAAACAACCCCATCAAAAAGTGGGCGAAGGATATGAACAGACACTTCTCAAAAGAAGACATTTATGCAGCCAAAACACACATGAAAAAATGCTCATCATCACCGGCCATCAGAGAAATGCAAATCAAAACCACAATGAGATACCATCTCACACCAGTTAGAATGGCGATCATTAAAAAGTCAGGAAACAACAGGTGCTGGAGAGGATGTGGAGAAATAGGAACACTTTTACACTGTTGGTGGGACTGTAAACTAGTTCAACCATTGTGGAAGTCAGTGTGGCGATTCCTCAGGGATCTAGAACTAGAAATACCATTTGACCCAGCCATCCCATTACTGGGTATATACCCAAAGGATTATAAATCATGCTGCTATAAAGACACATGCACACGTATGTTTATTGCGGCACTATTCACAATAGCAAAGACTTGGAACTAACCCAAATGTCCAACAGTGATAGACTGGATTAAGAAAATGTGGCACATATACACCATGGAATACAATGCAGCCATAAAAAAGGATGAGTTCATGCCCTTTGTGGGGACGTGGATGAAGCTGGAAACCATCATTCTCAGCAAACTATCGCAAGGACAAAAAACCAAACACCGCATGTTCTCACTCATAGGCGGGAATTGAACAATGAGAACACATGGACACAGGAAGGGGAACATCACACTCTGGGGACTGTTGTGGGGTGGGGGGAGGGGGAGGGATAGCATTAGGAGATATACCTAATGCTAAATGACGAGTTAATGGGTGCAGCACACCAGCATGGCACATGTATACATATGTAACAAACCTGCATGTTGTGCACATGTACCCTAAAACTTAAAGTATAATAATAATAATAAAAAGAATTTTAGCATCATTTGTTAAAATGAATATCAGTTTTACATTGCATTTTCTCTGTACTTGTGCCAAAAATCAGTTGTTCATATACATCTGATCCTTGAACATCATGGGTTTTAACTGTACAGGTTCATTTATATATAGATTTTGTTCTGCCTCTGCTACCCTTGAGACACCTAGATCAACCCTTCGTTTTTCTCCTCCTCCTACGCCTATTCAACATAGACAATGAGGATGAAGATCTTTATGATGAATGATGATACATGTCCACTTAATGAATAGCAAATATATTTTTTCTTCTTTATGGTTTTCTTAATAACATTTTCTTTTATCTAGCTTACGTTATTGTAAGAATACAGTATATAATGCATATAACATACAAAATATGTGTTAAATGACAGTTTATGTTATTGGTAAGGATTATCAGCTTCACAATATTCTTTTCTACTTTTAGTTTTCTGAGGGATGTTTATGAGAAACATTGATTTTTATTAAATTACTTTTTCTTATAATTTTTTAAAAATTAAATTTAAATTTAAATTTTTTGGAGGGGAACATAACGTGTGTATATTTATAGGGTACATGAGATGTTTTGACACAGGCATGAAATGTGAAATAAGTGCATCATGAAGAATGGAGTATTCATTTCCTCAAGCATTTATTCATTGAGTTGCAAACAATCCAATTACAGTCTTTAAGTCATTTTAAAATGTACAGTTAGTTATTATTGACTAAAGTCACACTATTATGTTATCAAATAGTAGGTCTTTTTCATTCTTTCTATATTTTTTGTTCCCGTTAACCATCGCCACCTCCCTCACCATCCCCCATTACCCTTCGGATTCTCTGGTAACCAGAGTGTAACTGGCCTGTTTGCAACTCAATGGAGTATCACAAGTTAAATTGTTTTGATTTTTTGTGGATCCAACAAATAAGTGAGAACATGTGCTGTTTCTTTCTGTGCCTGTCTTATTTCACGTAACATAATGGTCTCCAGTTCCATCCATGTTGTTGCAAATGACGGGACCTCATTCTTTTTTATGGCTAAATAGTAATTCATTGTTTATATGTACCACATTTTCTTTATCCATTCATCCGTTGAGGGACACTTAGGTTGGTTCCAAATCTTAGCTATTGGAAACGGAGCTGCAGCAAACATAGAAGTGCAGGTATCTCTTCACTACATGGATTTCATTTCATTGAGTATACACCCAGCAGTGGGATTGCTGGATCATATGGTAGATCGATTTTTAGCTTTTTGAGGAACCTCCCCAAAACTATTCTCCATAGTGGTTGTACTAATTTACATTCCCACCAACAGTGTACGAGGGTTTCCTTTTCTCCACATCCTCACCAGCGTTTGTTATTCCCTGTCTTTTGGATATAAGCCATTTTAACTGGGGTGAGATGATATCTCATTGTAGATTTGATTTAAGTTTCTCTGATGATCAATGATATTGAGCAACTATTCATATGCTTCTTTGCCATTTGTATGCCTTCTTTTGGGAAATGTCTATTTAAATCTTTGCCCATGTATTAATGGGATTATTTTTTCCTATTGAGTTGTTTGAACTCCTTATATATTCTGGTTATTAATTCATTGTCAGATAGGTAGTTTGCAAGTATTTTCTCCCATTCTTTGTGTTGTCCATCACTTTGTTGATTTTATCCTTTGCTGTGCAGAGGCTTTTCAACTTGGTGTGATCCCATTTGTCCATTTTGGCTTTGGCTTCCAGTGCTTCTAGAGTAGTGCTCAAAAAATGTAAGCACAGACCAGTGTCCTGGAGATTTTTTTCCAAAGTATTCTTGTATTAGTTCCAGGATTCGAGGTATTAGATTTAAGTCTTTAATCCATTTTGATTTGATTTCTGTATATGGTGAGAGATACTGCTCTAGTTTAATTCTTTTGCATATTGATATCCAGTTTTTCCAGCACCGTTTATTGAAGAGACTGTCTTTTTTAGCCAATGATGGGAAGAAAAAAAGAGACTATCTTTTCCCTAGTGTATGTTCTTAGCCCCTTTCTCGAAAATCAGTTCACTGTAAATGAGTGGATTTGATTCTGGTTTGTCTATTCTGTTCCATTGATCTATGTGTCTGTTTTTATGCCAATACCATGTTGTTTCCATTACAATCCCTCTGTAGTATAATTTGAAATCAGGTGAGGTGATTCCTCCAGTTTTGTTCTTTTTGCTTAGGATAGTTTTGGCTATTCTGTGTCTTTTATGGTTCTTTATAAATTTTAGGATTTTTTTTCTATCTCTGTGAAGAATGTCATTTGTATTTTGATAAGGATTGCATTGAATCTGTTGATTGCTTTAGGTAGTATGGACATTTTAACAATATTGTTTTTCCAATCAATGAATATGGATTATTTATCTATTTTTTTGGTGTCCTCTTCAATTCCTTTCATCAGTGTTTTACAGTTTTTAATATAGACACCTTTCAGTTCTTTCATTAATTTTTAGGAATTTAATTTTATGTATGGCTATTGTAAATGGGATTGCTTTTTGGTTTCTTTTTCATATTGTTTACTGTTTGCATATAGAAATGCCACTTTTTTATGTTGATTTTGAATCTCGAATCTTTACTGAATATTTTATTAGTTCTGTTTTTTTGTGGAGTCTTTAGGTTTTCCCAAATAAATGATCATATCATCTGCGAACAAGAATAATTTGACTTCTTTTTAATTTGGATGGCTTTTATATGTTTCACTTCTTTGATTTCTCTAGCTAGAATATCCAGTGCTATGTTAAATAAGAGTGGTTGGTGGCAGTGGGCATCCTTGTCATATTCCAGATTTTATAGAAAAGGCTTTCAGTTTTTCCCTATTCAGTATAATAATATTAATAGCTATGGGTCTGTCATATATGGCTTTTGTTATGTATTGGAATGTTTCTTCTATCTCCAGGTTTTTAGTGTTTTTTTCATGAAGGGATGTTGAATTGTATCAAACGTTTTTCAGCATTAATTAAAATAATCATACAGTTTGTATCCTTCATTCTGTTGATATGATGTATCACACTGATTGATTTGCATATATTAAACCATCCTTGAATCTCAGGGATAAATCCCACTTGGTCAAGATGAATAACATTTTTAATGTATTGTTGAATTTGGTTTGCTAGGATTTTTTTTTATTTTTGCAACAATATTCATAAGAGATATTGACCTGTAATGTTTTTTCTTTCCTTTTTTTTTCTTTTTTGATGTTGCTTTGTCTGGATTTGGTATCAGGGTAATATGTTTTCCAGTTTACTTGCTCCATTTCCTTCTCTTTCAGGGATGCAAGTGTGCCATGGGTTTGGTCTTTTTGCATAATCCCATATTGTAATGATGTTTTGTACATTCTTTCTAATTTGTTTTTATTTTGTCTGGGTGGAGTAGAAGTACCAGTTTTAAAACTCTGAGCTTCTTCCCTCACCTTGGTGTATTTCATAATTTCATAATCACACTTATGATTACATTATGAAATGTTTATAGTATATTTTTTAGCTCTAGAAGATCACTTTTTTTTTTTCTTAAAATGGCTATTTTGTCTTTCAGGTCTTGAATGATTTTACTGGATTCTTTGGATTCCTTGGATTGGGTTTCACATTTTTCCTGAATCTTGATGATTTTCATTGCCATCCAGATTCTGAATTCTATGTCTCCCATTTAAGACATTTCAGTCTGATTAAGAACCATTGCTAGGGAGACAGTGTGGTTCTTTGGAGATAAGAAGATACTCTCGCTTTTAGAGTTGCTAGAGTTCTTTTGCTGGTTCTTTCTCATCTTCGTGGCCTAATGTTCCTTTACCTGTGTTATAATTTGAGTCTTGTCATTTGGCTTCATTTCTGGATGTTTTTGGAGGGCCAAGGCTTTGTGCAGTATATGTAATTTTTGTGGCTGAATTCTTGCCCTTGGTTTCATAAGGGATTATATTAGCCATGTATTTTTTATCTAGTTTGGGCTGTGACCCATCAGATTGTGCTTAATAATGGCAATCAGATAAGTTACTACTCAGCCCCCTCCGGCTCCTCTATTTCCTCATGATTTCAGCCATGCCCTCTCTCCGTCCTAGAGTATGGGCTCCTCTCCCACTGAAGTACTGGCCACAGATCTTGGCTTGGCCCTCTGAGCCTGTATATCACAGCCCTTGGGCAAGTTCAGGCTATTTCTTCCCTCCTCAATTTGGGGGCAGTGGGGTGGGAAATTTGGCAGTGGCAATGGCAAAGGGTCTGTCACTTGTCTCTGTGAGCTCTACCCCACAGAGGTGGGGAAGCCATGCTGTGGCCAAATTCCAGGGGTCCTGACTGGTGAAGAGCAGGAGGTTGGGTCTCAGAGAGATTGACCTCCTCTTTGCATGGCAGCTGCAGCATGTTGTAGACGTGAGTAAAGCAATCAGGGCCTTTGTTCACTCCCCAGCCAAAGGGAAGCAAGAACAGGTACTGCTGCAGTGGCAATGGCATAGGGCTTGTCAGTTGTATCTGGGAATTCCACCCCAGATAAATAAAAGAGCCACTGCTGACTGAAGTGATTAGATGATTGTATGGCAGCTGCACTGGGGGTGCAGGTAAGGAGGCCCTGCCCATTGAAGGGTAGCAGGGGCAGAGGCCTGTGTGGAAAACTGCCTGGCCACTTTTCCATAGCTGTGGCATGCTGGCGGACTACGACAGCTCTTGGGCTTGTAGTTCTCACCCCAGCCTGCGGGATGGGGGTCATGGCAGTGGCAATTGAGGCGGTCCTGTAGGTTACCACTGGGAGCTCTATCCCAGAAAAGTTGGAGAGCTGTGACCTGCTGGAGTCCTCAGGCAGGGGTAGAGTGGTTGTGTTTGGGTCTCAGGCCAGTGGGCTTTGCCTGGCAAGGTGTAGTGGTGGTAGGGCCTGCAGTCTATCCACTCCTTAGCACTGTGGATACCTCTCCTGTACTGGAGGCATGCAAGATAGCCTGGCCTCCCTTGTTGGTGGTGCTATGGCAGCTGGTTATGGGGTTCTCAGCAATCCGAGGCCCTTGGGATTTCCTGGGGCATAAGCGGTAGGTCTGTCCAAATTCCATGCAGCTCTCTATGTCACTCTGGAGATCCCAGAGGGAGAGGGGCAGGTGGGGTGGGAGTCAGGGGGGGACTCTCAAGTGCCCAGTATTGCAAAAGTCCATAGCCAAAATGTGGGTCTCCAGGAGCTCTCACTCACTGATCATCTCTCCATGATGGGGAGCCTCCCTTCCCTCTGTGCCAGTGCTTGGTGGGTGACTGTCCTGCCTCACTCTTGTCTGCTCTCCATAGGTCACCAATGCTTCCTTGATGAATGCCAATGTGACCTCCTGGACAATTCACATGAAGAACTAGTTTGTACTTACCACTGTATCTCCTCTGCATGAGAGTGGCACACACCAGCTGCTTCTAGTCAGCCATCTTGGCCCCAAAACACTACTTTAAAAAATACAATTGTCCTTTTATTGTGTTTTTAACTTTTATTTTAGAATCAAGGAATACATGTGCAGATTTGTTACAAAAGAATATTGCATGATGCTGAGGTTTGGAGTATGACTGAATCCATGACCCAGGTAATGAGCATGGTACACAATGGGTAGTTTTCAACCTTTACCCCCACCTTCCCTCCCCACTTTGTTTTTTCCTATCGTAGTGTTATTGTTCCCGTCTTTATGTTGACATATACCCAATGTTTAGCTTCCACATTGCTAGTGAGAATATGCAATATTTGGTCTTCTGTTTCTTTGCTAATTTGGTTACGATAATGGCCTTCAGCTACATCCATGCTTTGGCAAAGGACATGTTTTCATTCTTTTTACGGCTGTGTAGTATTCCACAGTGTATATATACCATATTTTCTTTATCCCATCTACCATTGATGGCACATGGGCTGATTTCATGTATTTGCTGCTGTGAAGAGTGCTGTGATGAACATGCTGGTGTATGTGTCTTTTTGGTAGAACAGTTTATTTTCCTTCGCATATATACCAAAAAATGGAATTGCTGTGTTGAATGGTAGTTTAACTCTTAGTTCTTTGAGAAACTGGAAAGCTTCTCTCCACAATGCCTCAACTAATTTATATTCCCACCAACAGTCTATGAAGTTCTTGTTCGTAAGAAGTTTGTGCTCATTTGAGAAATGCATCTTTAAATAATTAAGTAAAGCATGTTATACAGTGATAAAATAAATTAATATTGTGTGCCAAAAGAAATATCACATTCTCTTTTAAAGGAAAATTCTGTAGACAGCTCATATTTCTATGGACTTCCTTTTCCTTTTGTTTTCAAAATATACATGCACTGCATTGTCCTTGATGAATTAAAAAACCAAGGCCATTGTTTCATTTGCCAAACCTCTTTCAGTAACCAAAAAATAAACTTGTGTACCATGCCATGTCACTAGTGTTAAACAAGAATTTAGATCTCGTTCCCAATCTTAATTTGGCATTGTATTTTGCTGAAATTTATAGTAGTAGGGTCTACTTTTTACTCTTGAAAATATTTAGTATATTCTTTTAAACAAAAAAGTTATTTAATCTCCTGGCATTTATATTAAAGTACTAAACCTGTTTGTTTCTAAGATATATTGGGCCGTATTAGTGACTTTGTTATAAATTTCAATGAAAATTTTTTGTTGCTGGCTTTGTGCCTGCCTGTTTCTTCTCTTGTCATTGTATATTTTCTAACAATTGTAAAAATATGCATTTCAGATATAAAGAAATCACTCACTGAAGATCCAGACTGTTCATTGGATAATATTATCCTTTAAATGTGTAGCTGCTTATAATGGTAACACAATCAAAAAAAATTTGTTGTATGCAATTGTAGGTGGTCAGGTACTATGTTTGTGTGTGTGTGTGTGTGTGTGTGTGCATACTGTTTAATAGTCATACTGGGCTGAAGTTTGTTGTACAAGTATGAGTGTGTACACATTTACCTGCATGCTTGTGAGTATGTGCAAAGTTCAGGATGTTAAATTGTGACACTTTGATAATTAAGGGCTTCTTGAAGCTTAGTTTTTAACAGGTACTTTTAAACATAGATTGGCATGTACATTTTCAGGATATATATCACTACTGCTAGATCGACACATACACTTTCAAGATATACATCAGTGCTGCTATAAAGCCTTATTTTAATTTGACTCTATACTGTTGTGAAGATTCTGTGCCAATATCAAGCAGTGGAGCTTTGGATTTTTGAAATAGTTCCTACATTTGTTCATTGCTGCTTTGTCTTCTGATATCATTCACCATCTTCTACCTTGCTGTAATGATTTTTTTAATTCATCGATTTTATTTTATTATTATACTTTAAGTTCTGGGATACATGTGCAGAACGTGCAGGTTTGTTACATAGGTATACACGTGCCATGGTGGTTTGCTGCACCCATCAACCCGTCATTTACGTTAGGTATTTCTCCTAATGCTATCCCTCCCCTAGCCCCCCACACCGCAACAGGCCCCCGTGTGTGATTTTCCTCTCCGTGTTCACGTGTTCTCATTGGATGTAACAATGTTAATAAAAGGTATTAACAAACTCAATTTCTATGTAGATACAATTTTCTTCTGCTTTTTGTTTTTATTATTATTTTAATTATTCACGTTTTCATTATTACTGTATTAATTATAGCTGATATACCAGTCCATATTTTTTCCTAATCGGTAGATTTGTTTCTAGTCATGCACTGTTTTGATACAATAAAATAATATATTTAATTTGTATGACCTCTGGCGTTAGTCATATATTTTGATATAAAAAATGGTAAAACCATAGATATTTTGGTCCTGTGTCTTTATTCTCAGAGTTGAGATGCTGCCACGCCTTCTGCTATTGTGATTGTAGCTTGGAATGCCAGCAACATGGGACTAACTAGGTCTATAATGAGTGGTAAAAGAGAATTTGGGTCATGATCTCATAAACACTGGGATATAGAAGAAAAAATAAGGCTTTGTAAGTATTTGCTTTTTGATCATACTATCTTACAATTTTATTCTAAGAAATACATGCCGATCCTGTGGATTAAAACTAATAATCTTCCCAAAACTTTATTTCCCTTACTTCAGAATACCAATGCTAAGAAAAAAGTATGAAGATATTTTTTTAAAAACATGTTTCAAACTTTTATAATGAAATAACTTGGGCATAAACAGTGCATGTCATATATTTTTAAAAATGTGTTGACAGAGAAAATATATGAATTCCTTTCACTCCCAGAAAAAGACCAAACTAATTTATATATAATATAGAATCACGTATAAGAAAATTAACACTTTATGAAACACATTTAATCTTATTTTAAAAACATGTCATTTTTTTCTCCAACCAATGCTTTATTCATGGCATTAATTTTTCATTGGAACCCCAGTGATAAATGTGTAAGAATACATCTGCTAGAGCAGGCAGATAGGTAGACATGAGCATGAAAGGGAACCCTGGAGACCTGAAGCCCTGGAAACTTTGTCACACCAGCAAACAGTGCCCCACTAAAAAAATCAGAAAAAAAAAAAAGTCACATATGTAATTGTGGTTAGGATTATCTGGCCTTAAACTGGGACTTACTTACCTGGCCCTAGTAGGAAATAACTTCAGGCCCTAGTAGGAAATAATTTCAGTAGGAAAATTCAGTAGGCCTAGTAGGAAATAACTTACCTGGCCCTAGTAGTAAATAATTTCAGTAGGAAATACTGAGGACTTTCCTCAGTAGCGAGCATGTGCACTTCCACTTGCCTCACCTTAAAGGTAACCTTTTCTTCATTATAATAATTAAAACACACCCTGGTTGAGATTTAACATGCTAATAAGACATATGACATATGCACTTAGCATGTATGGTTATAGCACATGCACACCCAGGGGGCCACGCAAAACATGCATGCTAGCAACACCACGTCATGCCACTTCTATGAATAATTATTTAAGATTCATATAAAGAGGGTTCCCCAGTGTCAGTTGACACTCATTCTCGAGCAGCCTGCTCTGACTTGGCTTTCAGAGTGTACCGTCCCTTTAAATAAGTAAGTTTGCTGCTGCTTATCTATTACTGCATGTCTCTTGACTTAATTATTTCTTCCAAGAAGACAAGAATCTGTGAATCTGCCTTTGATTTGGAAGCCCCCACTTCCAGTTATCCTGCCTTTCTGGACCAAACCAATGTACGTTTTACATGTATGGATTGATGTCTCACAGTCTCCCTAAAAGGTATAAAACCAAGTTGTACTCTGACCACTTTGAGCACATGTTCTCAGGATCTCCTGAGGGCAGTGTCACAGGCCATCGCTCACTCATATTTGGCTCAGAATAAATCTGTTCAAATATTTTCAGAAAGTTACTTTTTACTGACATACAGGACAACAATAGTTAAAGGTAATTAAGGAGATATTCGCTTTTTTAAAAAATTTAAATTCTAATCTCCCATGTAACATGAAGTTTTGAAATTAATTTTATTTCTTGGTTGATAGTAGACATATTTTTATGTAGCCACATATAATTGTTATTTATAATGATTTTAAAAATGTGTTTCTGGGCCGGGCGCAGTGGCTCACTCCTGTAATCCCAGTACTTTGGGAGGCCAAGGCAGGCGGATCACGAGGTCAGGAGATTGAGACCAGCCTGACCAACATGGAGAAACCCCGTCTCTACTAAAAATACAAAATTAGCTGGGTGTGGTGGCGCATGCCTGTAATCCCAGCTACTCGGGAGGCTGAGGCAGGAGGATTGCTTGAACACGGGAGGCGGAGGTTGCCGTGAGCTGAGATCGCGCCATTGTACTCCAGCCTGGGCAACAAGAGCGAAACCCCATCTCAAAAGAAAAAAAAAAAAGTGTTTCTGAAACTGCAAATAAAATTAGCATTTGCTGTTTTCAGAAAAGAGAATCTTCTATTTCTTACCTCATAAACCTTCAATAAATGAGCACATAGCTTCGAAATTATCTATTTGAGGTAAAACAAAACTTATGAGAGGCCATTGTTTTGAGCTGAGCTCTTGCACTAGGCACCAACATTCCAGACCAAACCAAAATGGAGTGACCCATGCTAAGTGCAAACTAGTCAAACTGAAACTTTAAGGAAGCAGATGTATTATCAGGGAAGGGTATCCAAGTTACGGGTGGTGAATCTGTATGGGTATGCAGCAACCTCAATTCTTGCCTCCTCAGAAAAAAGATTTTGACTGAGGGGCATACAGCAGATAAAAGAGACTGAGGCAAGTTTTAGAGCAGGAGTGAACGTTTATGAAAAAGGTTTAGAACAGGAATTAAAATAAAGTATTATTGGAAGAGGGCCAAGTGGGCATCTTGGAGGACAAGTGCTCCATTTCACTTTGGACTTAGGGTTTTATATGCTGGCTTACTTCCAGCATCTTGCATCCCTTTTCCCTTCATTCTTCCCTTGAAGTGAGCTACCTGCATGTGTAGTGGCCTGCTAGCACTTGGGAGGTGAGTATGTGCAGTGTGTTTACTGGACTTGTACACATGCTCTCCCAAGGCATTCTTCCCTTTGCTGGTGGAATGCCCCTGAAACATCATATACCATTAAACTCTGCCATTTTGTCTCTTAATGCGCATGTCTGAGTCCACTCGCTCACCTCCTGAGATCTTATCCAGAAGCTGCTGATCACCAATTTCAGTTTTTTTTTTTTTCTATAGGGTGACTGCCTTTCCCTGGAACTGGCTGTGACAAATTATTATTTCAGAGAGACAATTAACAACCACCTGACCATCGCCTTATTGTCTGCTGACATTCTTGGTTGTGGATAGGCCCTCTCCTGCCCTGCTCATGCCTTACTAGCTACCTACTCTAACAAATGGATATCAAAAGTGACCTTTTTTTTTTCTTGAAGAAAAGAGATTCCAGTTTACCTCAGTCAATAATAAGAAAATTTCCTCTGCTTTATTCATTACAAAAAAGTAACCTGATGTTAACAAATTAGATTTCTTTTTCTTTGTTCTGTTTCCTTGCTCCCAATTTAAAGAATCCAGTGTTCTGCTATTGTCCATTGAGAGCTCTCATTCTATTTTTTTAGAATAAAGGCTGCCTTTATTCGTGAATCACAAACAAAAGCCAATTAGATCTATAACTACATTTGCTGTAATTTTGTTTTTCAACTTTGGTACCAGTATTTCTTTCCTATCTGCCCTTCCGGTTTATCCTAGAAAAATATAGTTTGTATTCCCTAGACAGTATAAATACAGCAAAACTAAAGCCATTTAAAATCCCTTTACAATTTCAAGGGCTTCTTTACACTTCTGTCAGATAAAGACAAACAGGTACTTAGATAGGAGGACACTTCAGTTAAAAAGAAAGACTATTCCAATGGGAGACTGCTCCAGATCTCAAAAACTCTGTGAACATTTCAAAATCAAGCAGAAAAGTGATTTTCCTTAATAGGGTAAAAAGGAGACAAGCAGAGATAAGCACGACCATTAGAGGAGAAGTTGGACAAACAAGGGAAAATAACCAATGCGTTCTGACAAAAACTGTCCTGCTATGCTCAGGAAAACCAGGGAAAGAGGTTACATTCCACTGTGTTTGTTTGTTTTTGTGCTTGTTCCGGCTTGCAAGTTAGCAGAGTTCAGGGTCCTAAAGATGAAAGAGAAGCCTAATCAAAGGTTGGTGACAAAGCACAGGGTAAAAAGCAGGCAATTGTAAATACTTGGTCACTTTGAAGGAAACGGTCAATTAAATTACATTTAGCAGTCTACAATTTGTAAACCACAGTCCTTAAGAAAAGTGGTCTTGAAACATCAGAAACTCAGCTTAGATTTACTGTTTTATTATTGATTGACCAATGCAATTGACTTAAATAATAATATTTAATTAATGTTTTATACTATTTAATTATCATCATCTATACACATTCACACAGAGTATGATAAAATGCAAAGTAAAATATATTTGCTGGTAGAAATAATTATGAGATTTAACAAAGGTGTGATCCTATTTGGTTAACTCCTCTGGCCTCATTTTCTTCATCACAAATCATTATAATCTATTTTATGTGAGGAATAAATTAAATAAAATGCCATATATAAAAATGCTGAGCATAGTGCCAGGCACATATTAAAAAACCAATAAATAGTGGTTGAATAAATGACTACTTGCTGATGAGAAGTATACTATATGAATGAAATTGGACTAGTTGTCTCCCTTAGCTTTTTTTTTTTTTTTCAGAGCAGGTGTGGAAGTTTATTAAAAAGCTTTAGAGCAGGAAAGAAAGGAAAGTGCACTTGGAAGACATCCAAGTGGGCAACTTGAAGAACAGTGCCTCCTTTAGCTTCTTAATGTTCTGAGGTGACTGTATTGCATGAGATTATCTCAAAAATTCTTAATTTCTAAATAAAAAAATTGTTAAATTATTTTTCTATGTATTGTCACTTACATTCATTAAACTGAAATTGCTTTAAAATTTACTTTTACTTAAGTATAGAACAAAACAGCTTCTAGAAGATATTGAGTTATAGAATCCCAATATATAGTGCTATCACATAAACAACCTAATATTCTATCTTTTGAAGTTTAAATGTTAGTATTTGCTACTTATTTTCTTTTGTAAGCAAATAGCATATTAACTTCAGACATACGTCTCATTTACAAACCTTGATTCTTAATCATGAGGTCTGAAAAAATCCTATTTGACAGAGATTTTTGACATTTCAATATCAGAAATTTATGATTTTTCTCTGTGGTGATTTCAGTCATAAGAAAACTCTTAAGTAAGCTAATAACAGTGCTATAAAGGTATTAATTAATTATTACAAAACAATAATACTTGTAAAATAGGTTACACATTTAATATTTCTTTAACTTATACTATAAACTTTATACCATTTGGTATAATAAGTTTTAATAACCACGATAAAACCAACATTCATATAACACCTACTAAAACGTAATTTAAGAAGTTAATTATCAGCAGGAAAAAAAGATAGGTTTCCCTTTAAAGTCCTTTGCATATTTGATTAAATCAACTGAATTATGGAAGGAATAGTAATTGAATAAGAGACTGCCTGAAAAGGCATTAATGAAAAGAAAAATGTATCTGCACCTGAAGTCCAAAAACTACAATTTTTAAAAAACCTAAAACATAAAATAAGTAACAGAGCCTCTGCTTTTTTTAAGGAGGATAAAATTGGTAAACTTTGAGCAACACTGATGGAGAAGAAAGAAATGTATATACCTCACTACGCATCCAACAGACACAGAAAAAAATATTAAAAGGATACTATAAACTCATTTGTTCACACATTTATGTGAATAAACTTAAAAATTTAGTTGAAATTGTCAAACGTAATTAGATTCAGAAAATATGATTACGTACAGAGTTTATTCGAGCACAAAACTTGAGGAAATGCACATTAAAACCATAATAAGATACAATCTTATACCATCACTCAGATGGCAATAATTAAAATGTCCGAAAACAACAAATGTTGGCAAGAGTTTAGATAAAAGGGAATGCTTATACACTGCTGGTGGGAAGGTAAATTAGTATAACCTTAATGGAAAACAGTATGGAGTTTTCTCAAAATAAAAATAGAACTGCCATTTGATTCAGTAATCCCAGTTCTGGGGTTATACCCAAAGCGAAATAAATCATTATATCAAAAGACACCCACACTCTTAGGTTTATTGCAGCACTATTCACAATAGCGAAGATATAAAACCAACCTAAGTGCCCATCAGTGGAAGATCGGAAAAAGAAAATGCGTTATACATGTATACCATGGAATACTACTTAGCCATTAAAAAAATGAAATCGTGTCTTTTGCAGCAACATGGATGGAATTGGAGACCATTATCCTAAGTGAAAAAACCCAGAAAAAGAAAATTAAACACAGTATGCTCTCACTTATAAGTGGGAGCCAAACAATTTGTATACATGGACATATGGAATAGAAAAATAGACACTGGAGTCTACAAAAGATGGGAGCATGAGAGGTGGGTGAGGGTTGAAAAATTATCTGTAGCATACAATGTTCACTATTCCGATGATGTGTACACCAGAAGCTTCACTACTATGCAGCATATACATGTAAGAAATCTGCACTTGTGCTATGTATATATATATGATAGAGTTTATTTGAGCACAAAGCTTGAGGATAAAAACCCAGGTAACACAGAATCCAAATAAATGGGGTCAGTGAAGAAGTTAAGGTTTTACGTATATAGGCAGACATATAAGAATTTAACAAGGTTGCAACAGTATCCACAGGAGTCCAATACATATATTACAGAAATTTGATTGATTACAGTTTGCTGCATTCTAAGGAAGATTGCTTTAACATTCCATAAAGAGGGGTAATAGACTTGAAGTGGATCTATCTAGCTCTGGCTTTTTGTAATCATCTACAGTACAAGAATAAAGAGAGGAATTAATGCATAATCGGAGAAGCAGAAATTGCAACTACATGCTAGGTGACTCAGGCCACTAAGTCACATTCCTTCAAAGCTCAGATAATTTAAAGTTCTAACAGCATTAAGTTTGAATTATTTAATTTCACAAAGTCTACACCTGGCAAGAGAAAACTTCCAGTAGCTAATACAAGAAAAAAATTAATGCGAAGGGTCATATGCCCATGAAAGAAATTGAATCTACTACAAAAAAATTTCAATAAACAAAATAGACTAGAGTGAACTCACCAGAGAATTCTTCCAACTTCCAAATATTAAAAAAAATGTCAATCTTAAATAAATTCTTCCAAAAAATTCAGGGTAAGCTTATCAGCTCTTTTTATAAAGTCAAAATAAGTTTGATAACAAAACTCAACTAGAATATAGCAAAGTATGAAAATCAGCTTTTTTATTCAAATAGTTGCCAAAATTCTAAATAAAATTTAGCTCCTCTAATACCTATATAAACTTGTTATATATAAATTGGGTCATGCATCATGATGAATATAATTTTTTTCAGAAATAATAAAGTTGTCTAACATTTAAAAAAAGGATGCCTTACTACATCATCAACAACCACAACAGAAAAACCAAATACATATCTCAATAGATGCAAAAATATTAGATAAAAGGAAACACTCATTTATGATATATGACTTTATGGGAACAAGAAATGGAAGAAAGCTTTCTTAACCCAGTAAAGCACTACTACAAACAAAATAGTAGGTAATATGTTGAAGACATATTGAAAGATTATCTCTTGAGATCCAGAAAAGGACAAACTTGCCCACTGTATCATTCATAGTAAAACAAGGAGAAAACATAAGTAAAATGAATAAAAATACAATAGGGCAAAGACTTTTAAATGGTTTTATTAGAAGATTATGTACTTCTGTGCATAGATAATTCATGAGATTCTATAGGAAAACTATTTGCATTCACAGGTAAATTTAGCAAGCTTGCTCCATAGAAGTGAATATAAATAAATTGTTTTTTAATATATGAGTAACAATTAAATAAAGCATACATTTTAAAAGAATATGACACCTTTTATAATAGCATCATAAAACATCAAACATTTCTGAATAAATTTAAAGAAATATATGCAAGCTTGCTACATTGAAAACTACAAAACATTTTTGAGATAAATCAAAGAAGACCATGGTAAGGGGCTTATCATCTATAGATTAGAAGTTTCAAAATCTTATTATTTTAATGACGCCAATCAGAGAAGATAACTAAGTTTACAAAAAATTTTACCATAAAGTGGGGACGGTTAAGAAGACCTAAATATGACAAAGTATCAATGTTCCAATTCCAGTTTTAAAATATTGATTTTAAATATACTGTAAAAAGTGTGTATTTATTTTTTAATCCTTAGAGGAACCACTGAAAATTATACAAAGTGATACAGTTAAAATTATATTAGATTAGATAAATTATAGTGGAATAAGAACAAATGTTTAAATAACCCCCAAAAACAGAGTACAAGGAAATATTGCAACAAAAATCACAAGAAACAAATAGAAAACAAATAATAAAATGGTATATCTAAATCTGAACATACCAATTATTACATTAGTGTAAATGTTTACACACAGGAATTTAAAGTCAGAGATTGTTAGAACAGATTTTTTAAATGACCCAAATTTTTTGCAGTATAAGTAATGACCACCCAAAGATATCAGGTTTGAATCCTTGGAATCTCTAAATGTTACTTTATAAGAGAAAGGTCCTTTGCAGATGTAATTAGGTTAAGAATCTTGAAGTAGGGGAGATTATCCTAGTTTATCAGTGTGGCCTTTAATTCAATCACAACTTTCCTTATAAGAGAGATGCAGAGAGAGATTAAACCACCACACACACAGAATAGGTGAAAGCAATGTGAAGGCAGAAATTGGAGCAGTGCAGCCACAAGCAAAGGAATGCAGGCAGCCACGAGACGTAGACAGGACAGGGAATATTCTCCTCTAGAGCCTCCAGAGTGTGATCCTGCCCACACCTTGATTTTTGCCCAGTGATACTGATGTTGAACATGAAGCCACCGGAACTGTTAGAGAATACATTTCTGTTGTTTTAAGCACCAAGTCCGTGGTAATTTATTAGGACATTCTGTTTTGTCAGTCCTATAATTTCAAGTGCTACTTTGACATCTTTGAGTTTCACAGGGTCCCAAAGTCCTAGCCATGTGTTTTCCCAACCTGATATGGCTCCCCACACAGTGGGAAAGTTTCCCACCAGGAATGTTTCCTCATTGGCCAAATCAGCTGCACCCTACTCAGTCCTTGACCTAACAGGTTTCAGTTATTTGACAAACGGCAAAATTATTCAAAGAAGCCAATCACATCTTTACACAGGGACTAAGGAGCACCCCGTCCTCCTGTTATTAGAAAGAAGGCTTTCTGTAGGCCTTCTCTTTTACTCTGTTACCCAGTGTCACCCTCCTTGTGGCTCTGTATGGTGTGTGGTCTTCTACTGCCACAGATTGTAAACAGATGTAACTAATAAACAGGTGTTTATCTCATCTGTCTAGTGTCAGGTGTCTGTGTTCAACAGTCTTGTACTGTTAGGGAATGGGATCCCTCTTTCACCAATGGGGTGAACAGTAGGTGATCAGAACAATTTATTTCACAAACCAAATGGCTCAGTCAGGACCAAGAACATGTGGACAGATTTAATTAACTGCTCTTTTCCAAAGAATAAGTTCCTAATACCGTGAAGGTTGTCTGGGATGGAACTGCCAGCTTGCACTTTGGATTTGCATTGTGTTCTATGGTTTCTCTCAAGTACTGGCACCTCCTTCCACCTAAAGCGTCATTCTCACTACTGAGGAGATAGCTATTGTTAGTTGTATGCTGGCATGAAATGACAACATGTGGGGCCTGTGTCTGGCAGATGGTCTCTGGGACTTCCACCACTCATTCTAAGGCAGAGGGACTACCAACAAGGTTGTATAATGGACAATGGCAAGCTGATATGCCATTAGTAGTAGGGACCACAAGAACACCATGTCTGGAACTGGCTGCCCCCTTGGTGGACTATCAAGCCAAGGCCCTGAAGGATAAAGATTCCAGTGTATTGCATGTAGGCTGTTGATGAGAAATTATTTGGGGTGATCACCTGGCCATCCATTAGTAGAGAAAATACCTCCCCAAAACATGCACATAGCCCAGTGCTTACCTCCTAAGTGCTTGAGAAAGGCAAAATCCTGGTTACCAATGAGAAAAGAATTAAGAACGATTTTCTGATTTCCTTGTAAGAGTGACTGTTGTTCAGGCAAAGGTTGGGTCCTTTCCCACCTCCTGTGTTGTTGTTGCTTTCCTTGATGCTTTCACGAGTGCACTCCTGAACATCAAAGGTATCAAGTTACACATTCATAATATCGTGTTTTCCAACACTGATCAGAAAAAACATGTAGAGGAGAGTTTGCTATTCAGCTGTTCTCCAATGTAAAACTCCTGGTCAGTGCACCTGGGCTTTGATCAATGTTGCTGCAAAACAGCAAACAAAATGCTAATCTTGTGATCACAAGGCTTTGTGGCCCTCATCTAAGCCATAGACAAAATAGCTTTATTATCTCTGGACCCGATTTCTGAAGAGATCGACTGGGGCATTCTCAGAGGAGTAGGAGAATTTTCTATTGCCCCCTCACCTCTTTTCTTATAACTACTCAGAGAGACGCATGATAAGTGATCAAATGAAGACCTGATTTTTGAATAATCAGATAGAGACAGAAACTACATGGCTAGGTACCCAAAAGATGAAAGACTGTGCAGCAGAAAATGGCAGGAGTCATAATAGAAGGTGGTTTTAATCTGTCAGCCTCTGGATTGTGGGCCTATAACTCTTCAACTGCACCGGTCCCCTACTTATGGCTCTTTTGCAATAAAAGTCCTAATTTTCAAGATCATTGTGGAAAACACCTATGGTATCCTTGTAGCACAGTTAAAGGGTTCATTCAAAACTGACTAGTTAGGCATTCTTAAACCATATAACCATTGTCATGGGAAAGGTCTCTAGTCCTGATGATACTGATTTGAGGCTCTCTAGTGGAAGAAACTTATGAATAGAAGCAGAGGGAAAAAAAAAAACCTCCTCCCCCCAGATATATCTGTGAGAAAAAAAGAAAGGAAAGAAGAAAAATAAAGATAAGAAAGAAACCAGAACATAGGGAGAAGAAATCAACAGAATTAGAATGAAAGGTCTATAGTTTGACCCAACTGGAAATCCAAAACTTGCTAAAATAACTTATACAGCAAAATAATATGAAAGGGTGTTGATCAGCTTTTGTGCATCTTCACATAGGTGTGAATTAACTTTAAAATTTGCCAAAATGCACCAAATAGAAAACCTTCATGAACTTAATCAATGTTGGGGCTAAAATTAGTTAGACCCAGAGACTACATTAATGGCAACATCATGAGTGATTTTGCTTAGTAGAATGTGGCCATTTCCATCCCCTTAATCAGGATGTGCCCAATAAAGGGCAGGGTCCAAAGATCAACATAATTGGTCCCACTAAATTTAAGCATGATATTCATACTCTCTATAGTCTTAGAGGATTAACTAAATATAAAATAGAAATTAAATACATATGCCCTACCTTAACAATCAGAACTACTAACTCGACTAAATTTCCCATAGTCATTGCATCCATTGCCCTAAAATACCCTATGGTGGACAGAGATGTTCTGATAGAATGATAAATATATTAGACTTAATTATTTTGCACTTACAAATTGGCTTGAAATAATGAGACCCAATGGACCCCACAGGTAAAATTGTTAATATGACCCCAATATAAGTTAAAACAGACCCTTCAATAATTGGAATTTATTCTATGAAACTTTAATTAGTGGAGTAGTAATTATCGTTACTGCTCTTTTCATTTAGCAGGCCAATTTTGACTGTTGTTAAACTGACAAAAGAAAGAATGAGTGGTGCCTCACAGTAGATTAATTCAAATTTATTGCTCTAATCCAATAAATCCACATAACAACATCCAATATTATTAAAATTACTAAATCTATCCAATCAGCAACTAATAAATATTTTAAAATTATAAATTTGGCTAATATGTTTGATTCAGTACCCTTTTAGCTGCAGTTTGCTTTCCCCTTTAAGGGGACAAAGTACAACTTTACCAGACTACTCATGGGATACTTCAGCAGCTTTTTCATTGCATCTAATTTTCTCCAGGAACAGAGGTATGGCATGACATTAATGATACCCCCCTCTGGAGAAATTTATTTGACACACTCACTAAGGATATATAAGTCCACCATCTTTAGTCATTTTGGGTTCTGGAGGCAACATTTTCCTCACTTAAAATTTTACTTAATCTCACTGATGTTGTTATTTACAAATGGGCCCTCCTTAAAGAAATCTTCCTCCAACAAAAGGCTCTATGATCAGTCCAGACTGAGATCAGCAGGTACCAGAGACTACGTCACTGCAGTGGCTTCAGCAACCTTTATTATGCCTCATGGAGTCTTTGCACCACTTATCAAGGCCATCAGTTGGCCCATGAGCTTCTGATACAAGAACCTGCCCTTCTCAGCACTATACACCATTAGAGTGGCAACTGCTGTCCACATATTCTTCTGGAAATAGAGGTTCTCATAGACCTTGAACCTCTTACCCTACATATCCTCCTACCCATTATTCACTGGGTCATGAAGTAGTGTCCCACAAGCTTGACACTGCTACCAAGGACTGCTTGCTACAATATGGAGGCAAATATGGGCCCTCTGACATATTCTACTTGCAGTACGGGGTAGCCTCCCCTGTCCTCAAGTGCCTTGATAGGTGCTATGGTGCTAGAGGAGCTTATTCCTCCCCGAGACCCCTTGGCTACCCAGGGAGCCCCTTAGGATTAACTGGGTAGATAACAAGGGAGGGTATACACTTTATGGATGGCATGCACTATATTAATAGCACCATCATAAGTGATGTTGCCCAGTAGAATGTGGCCATTTCCATCCCCTTAATCAGGATGTTCCTGATAAAGAGCAGGGTCCTAGCATCAACACAATTGGTCAAACTTAAGTCATTCATCTCAGCACTGGATACCCTGACCAACAAATAGATCCGTCCAAGCATTTTTACAAACTCTTGGACTATTTCCCAAGATTTACTCCCTTTGTAGTAGATAAGTCTGGGGAATATCTTGACTCACAGATGCCCAAAATGTAAACCAAAGGTACAGGTGTATCTACATATGGTAAGGCCATAATAAAATGCCTCATCAGGTCTCTCCTTACCTCATTTGGAGTTGCAGATGTTACTGATAGTGACCAAGACACATGCTTCACTTCTCACAATACATAGTCCTTAGCTCTTGAAAAAAAACATTCAATGGAACTTTCATCTCCTTGATAGGACCCAGAGAACCCATTAAATTGAGAGGCATAATGGGCTCCTAAAGGAATTTTTATTTAAGTTATAAAGGGATAAATAGATCCTCTGTTTAGTGTCGCTATTTCCACAGTGACCGATTAGTCCGAGTTCAAGCCTTCTGGGAACATACAATCCCTACACCAATGCCATAAAGTTCCCTCATTTGCCTTCATTGGCCATAAAGTTGGGAACACCTCTAAGGTTCATGTTTTTGGTGACCACTTCACCACATGGCCATCTCCTTCTGGTGAAATGCCTACTTTACTTCCTAGGGAGGCATTTCTCCTCTTTCTAGTCTAGTTTTAGTCATCACTGAGGTCTAAATGGATGCCAAGGCATCAAGGGTCAATTGTACTGTAAAATACAGAATTTCATATGCAGCCTTTACAACTTTGACACTCATAGGGCCCCAAAGGCCTAGCTGTGAGTTTCATTGCTTATGCCAGTTTATGTTCCTCCAACCCAGTGGGAGTCTCCCTTCCCAGGTAGTTCCTCCATCAGCCAGAACAACTGTACTTCACCTGGCCCTGGACCCAATGGGTCTTATTATACTGTCAGTCCATAAAATTATTCAAGCAACTAAGTCATTTGTTATATGGGTATGTTCATATTGTAAAAATTTATGATTTGTATATTTTTCTGTTTAGATGTTACACTACCATAAAAATTTTAGAAAATGAGTTTAAAAAACTGCAATTTGTGTAACACATACTATTAAGAGAGTAAGAATTATAAATGTAAGCTCTCATACTCTAATTCAAATTATAGATGTGAGCTTTCATATTACCAAGATGTGTATTTTGCATGTAACCATATCTGTCTTTGTCTCTGTCTTTCTCTCTCTCTTTCACACACACACACACACACACACACACACACACACACACCCTCTCTCTAATATATGTCAAAAACATACTCTGGACCATCATTCTCCAACTTTTGTGTGCATAAGAATCACTTTAAAAGTTTGCTAAATCCTGATTATTGGTCCCAATTCCAAGAGTTTCTGATTCAGCAAGTCTGGGGTGGAGCCCACCAATTTACATTTCTAACAATTTCTCATTTGTTGCTAATGCTGCTACTCCGAAGACCACACTTTGAGAATCACTGAAGTAAATATAATTAAATCAGAAAAACAAAGGAAACTGTTATCTTAAGGTTATAAATGTTTAGATGAGCTCAAAATATCTACTTTAATATTCAACAATTTCCATTTCTAGGACTGGAAACTTGAAAAGTGAAGATGCATGGTGTATAAGACAAGTGAGATTTTAAAATTATTAAAGTCATTATAGGTCATTCTGAATGAATAAATTAATCTGAGGGTACAAACAGAACATTATGTTTATGAGAAAAATAACAATGTTTTATAAAGCTATTTACTGGATTTTATAAAATTATACCAGTGATATGTATTGCCTGACCTAATTAATTTTCAAATGCTCCCCAGACGGAAGGAAAACACACATTGAAGGAAAAAAAATCGAAAAGATCAATTGTGATTCAAAATATAATTACATACATGCCTTGTAATAACTGACTGTCTGAAAATGAAAATACATTGAAGTAATAATATGACAACACATACATCAGTTCTATGAAATTATTTAGATAAATTTGCAAACAAGTCTTTTTTAAAACAAATTACCAGTCCATCTTTGGGTATCATGGTACCAATTATTTTACCATATATATAGTATTGTAGAGATAGACATTTAAAAGACTTGAACTGTGTGCCAGTCACCTGAGACTTCATGAACAAATCTTATATAATACTTAAAACTGCTGTGAATTAAGTTGCATGTCCATTTGAAAGAACAGGAAACTGAAGCTAAGTATATTTAATTAACTTACGAAGCATATAAAGATGATAGATGGAGTATGCAAGATTTGGATTCACCTCTGTTTGATTTTAAAGCAGAGTTCTGTCCAATTTAATCAATTTTTTGAGGGTGGCTGGGCTCTAAGCTTCATGCTTATCTTTAGGGAGAATCTAGATAAACATAAAAACACAGATGTCAGATAATTAAAAAATGAACAGAGAAGTAATTACTTCATTGTATTTTGGAAAGGTAAGTTCCACCATGCTCCTAGGGTCTGAGGTCCTTCCCATGCCTTAGACAAGTCTCTCTCTTAATAGTTAACAGTTTTCCCACACCCAGTTACCTCTACTGCATTTAACTGCCCTTGTTCTATAATTCTCAGTGCCAGATGTTACCAATGTTTCTTCTTACCTGAGTTTTCTTTCATCAAACAATACACCGCAAACCAGCTCTAGGTCACTACTCTGATCACATTCACTCTGGCATTGAAACTTGACTGAATTTTATCATTCCATAGCTTCATAATGGTTATAACTACAACTGGCCGGGCGCGGTGGCTCACGCCTGTAATCCCAGCACTTTGGGAGGATGAGGCGGGTGGATCATGAGGTCAGGAAATAGAGACCATCCTGGTTAACACAGTGAAACCCCGTCTCTACTAAAAAATACAAAAGATTAGCCGGGCATAGTGGCAGGCGCCTGTAGTCCCAGCTACTCCGGAGGCTGAGGCAGGAGAATGGCGTGAACCCGGGAGGCGGAGCTTGCAGTGAGCTGAGATCTCGCTACTGCACTCCAGCCATGGCGACAGATCAAGACTCCGTCTCAAAAAAAAAAAAAAAAAAAAAAAAACAACTGTACTATTACTATTGTTAACATTTAGTGAGCCTTCATTTTGTATCATCCATAAATGCTAAACATATACTAAACATTTTGCATTTATTATTTGGTTCAATTTACACAACAATCCTATAGCGTAGGTATTAGGATTTTCCTCATTTTGGAAGAAACATAACTGAGGCACATAAAACAAAGCAACTTGCCCAAGGACGCACAGTGAATCTTTTGATGACGATGGTGATGGTGATAATGACAATTATATGAATAACTTTTGTAATTTATTGAGCATTTTACATGTGTCCAAAAATGTCCTAAACATTACATATTTTCTCAATGGATTATTTTATCCATTTAAGGTAAAAACTATTTGCTTTGTTTTGTCTGCTTGTTTTGCTTCCTTTTTCTGATTTGGGGGTACATGTGCAGGTTAGTTAAATAGATCTATTGCAAGATGGTGATGTATGGGCTTTTATTGAATCTGTCACCCAAATAGTGAATATAGTACCCAATAGGTAGTTTCCAACCCTTGACTCCAGCCCTCCTTCCACAGCTTTGGTGTCTCCAGTGTCTGTTGTTTTTATCTTTATGTCTATACATAAAGATGCTTAGTTCATACATATCAATGTTTACCTCTCACTCATAAATGAAAACAATGCAGCATTGATTGTTCTGTTTCTGTGTTAATTCACTTATGATAATGGCCTCCAGCTACATCCATGTTGCTCTGATGGATATAATTTTGCTATTTTTTATGGCTGCATAGTATTCCATGATGTATATGTACCACATTTTCTTTATCCAAACCACCACTGATGGGCACCTAGGCTGATTCCATGCCTTTGCTATTGTGAATACTGCTGCACTAAAAATACAAGTGTAGGTGTCTTTTTGGTAGAGCACTTAATTTTCCTTTGCTTGTATACCAAGTAATGAAATTGCAGGGTCAAATGGTACTTCTATTTTTACTTTTTGAGAATCACTCAAACTGCATTTCACAGGGGTTGAACTAATTTACATTCTCACCAACAGTATATAAGCATTCCCTTTTCTCTGCAATTTTGCCAACATCTGTTATTTTTTGACTTTTTAATAATGGCCACTCTGATTAGTGTGAGATGGTATTTCATTGTGGTTTTGATTCACATTTCTCTCTTGATTAATGATGTTAAGCATTTTAAAAATCTGTTTGCTGGCCACTTGTATATCTTCTTTTGAGGAATGTCTGTTCCTGACCATTGCTCACTTTGAATTGGGTTATTTTTTTTCTGTTGATTTAAGTTTCTTATAGATTCTGGATATTTGTCCCTTGACAAATGCACAGTTTGCAAATATGTGTATGTGCACCCAATATCAGAACACCAAGACTAATAAAGGAATTACTACTAGAGCTAAGCAAAGAGATACAGCCACACAAAAATAATGAGGGACTTCAACACCCCACTGACAGCCTTAGACAGATCATCAAGGCAGAACACTAATAAAGAAATTCCAGATTTAGATGGACACCTGACAAATTGGGCTTAATAGATACCTACAGAATACTGCACTCAACAGCTAAAGAATACACATTATCATCTGCAGACAGAACATACTCAAAGATTGGCCACATGGTTGGCCATAAAAGTAGTCTCAATAAATTAAAAAAATCAAAGTCATACCAAGCATCATCTCAGAGTACTGGGAAATAAAATTATAAAGCAATACCAATTGGAACTCTTAAAACAACACAAAAAATGAAAAGAAAACAACACAGAAAATGAAAAGTAAACAACTTGCTCCTGAGCGACTTTGGGGTAAACAACAAAATTAAAGCAGAAATTTTAAAAAAGCTTGAAAGAAATGAAAACAAAGAGACAACATAAGTCAGCACATCCAAAAGATAATTCACCATGATCAACTGGGATATCTTCCTGGGATGCAGGCATTGTACAATGTACACAAATCAATAAATGTGATTCACACATTTATTCAATAGAATCAAAAACAAAAAATATAAAATTATCTCAGTTGATGCAACAAAATTCAATAAAACCCAACAGCCTTTGATGATAAAAACCCTCTACAAACTAAGCAATGAAGGGACATATTTCAAAGTAGTAAGAGCCACCTATGATAAACCCCAAACCAACATCATACTGAACAGGAAAAAGGTGGAAGTATTCCCTCTATAACTGTGGACAAGACAAGAGTTTCCACGCTCTCTACTATTTAACAAAGTATTGGGAGTTCTAGCCAGAGCAATAAGGCAACGGGAAGAAAGAAAAGGCATTTAAATAGGAAACCAGGAGGTCAATTTATCTCTCTCTTCACTGATGATATAACTCTATACCTAGAAACACATAAAGATTCTACCAAAAGACTCCTAGACCTAATAACTTCAGTAAAGTTTTATGGTACAAAATCAACATGCAAAACCAGCAGAATTTCTATACACTGATAGCATTTCAGTTGAGAACCAAATCAATAATGCAATTCCATTTACAATAGCCACAACAATTAAAACACCTAGGAGACCACTTATAATCAAGGAAGTGAAAAATAGCTACAAGGATAACTGCAAAACACTGCTGAAAGAAATCATAGAATGACACAAACAAATGGAAAAATAGTCCATGCTCATGGATTTGAAGAATCAATATTGTTAATATGTTCATACTGCCTAATTCAATTTGCCTCTCCCGGTCTTTTAGGGGAAGCACTTAGGACATTTATATTCAAGATTAATACTGATATATGAGGTTTTGTTCCCATCATAATGTTGTCACAGAGTTGCATTTTAATGTCAACTGTGTAGTTGCTTCATAGAGTGCCTGGGCTATGTACTTACATGTGATTTTGTGGCAACAGGTATTGTTTCTGTGTTCAGAACTCCCATAAGAATCAAGTCAATAGATGAGGATCCAGTTTCATTCTCCTACACGTGGCTTGCCAATTATCCCAGCACCATTTGTTGAATAAGGTGTCGTTTCCCCCACTTTATGTTTTCGTTTGCTGTGTTGAAGATTAGTTGGTTGTAAGTACTTAGGTTTATTTCTGGGTTCTCTATTCTGTTCTATAGGTCTATGTGCCTATTTTCATATCAGTACCATGCTGTTTTGGTGACTATGGCATTATAGTATAGTTTGAAGTCAGGTAATATGTTGCCTCCAGATTTGTTCTTTTTGCTTAGTCTCGCTTTGGCTATGTGGGCTCTTGCGGGCTCTTTTTTAGTTCCATATGAATTTTAGGATTGTTTTTGCTAGTTCTGTGAAGAATGATGATGGTATTTTGATGGGAATTGGATTGAATGTGTAGATTGCTTTTGGCAATATGGTCATTTTCACAATATTGATTCTACCCATCCATGAGCATGGGACATATTTCCATTTGTTTGTGTCATCTATGATTTCGTTCAGCAGTGTTTTGTAGTTTTCCTTGTAGAAGTTTTCATCTCCCTGGTTAGGTATATTCCTAAGTATTTTCTTTTTTATTTTTTGCAGTTATTGTAAAAGGGGTTGAGTTCTTGATTTGATTCTCAGCTTGGTTGCCGTTGGTATATAGCAGAACTACTGATTTGTGTAAATTTTATATCCTGAAACTTTGCTGAATTCATTTATCAGTTCTAGGAGCTTTTTGGATGAGTCTTTAGGGTTTTCTAGGTATACGATCATATATCATCAGCAAACAGCGACAGTTTGACCTCCTCTTTACTGATTTGGATGTCTTTATTTCTCTTCTCTGATTGCTCTTGCTAGGACTTCCAGTATTATGGTGAGTAGAAGTCGTGAGAGCTGGCATCCTTGTCTTGTTTCAGTTCTCTGAGAGAGAACTTTTCCCTGTTCAGTATTACATTGGCTGAGGGTTTGTAATAGATGGCTTTTATTACACTGAGGCCTTGTATGCCGATTTTGCTGAGGGTTTTAATCATAAAGGGATGCTGGATTTTGTCCAATGCTTTTTCTGGATCTTTTGGGATGATCATGTGATTTTTGTTTCTAATTCTGTTTATGTCGGGTATCACATTTATTGACTTGCATATGTTAAACCATCCCTGAATCCCTGGTATGAAACCCACTTGATCATGGTGAATTATTTTTTTGATATCTGTTGAATTCGGTTAGCTAGTATTTTGCTAAGGATTTTTGCATCTATGTTGATCACGGATATTGGTCTGTAGTTTTTTTGTTGTTGCTGCTGTGTCCTTTACTGGTTTTGGTATTAGGATGATACTGGCTTCATAGAATGATTTAGGGAAGATTCCCTCTTTCTCTATCTTGTGGAATAGTGTCAATAGGATTGGTACCAATACTTCTTTGAGTGTCTGATAGAAATCAGCTGAGAATCTGGCTAGCCCTGGACTTTTTTTGTTGGTAATTTTTTTATTACCATTTCAATCTCGCTGCTTGTTATTAGTCTGTTCAGGATTTCTAACTCTTTCTGATTTAAGCTAGAAGGGTATATATCCAGGAATTTATCCATCTCCTCTAGGTTTTCTATTTTATGTGCATAAAGGTGTCCATAGTAGCCTTGAATGAACTTTTGTATTTCTGTGTTGCTAGTTGTAATATCTCCCATTTCGTTTTTAATTGAGCTTATTTGGATCTTCTATCTTCTTTTCTTGGTTCAAAGAACTAGCTTTTTGTTTCCTTTATCTTTTGCATTGTTTAGTTTGTTTACTTCAAATTCATTTAGTTCTGGTCTGATCTTTGTTATTTCTTTTCTTCTCCTGGGTTTAGGTTTGGAAAGCAAATGCAACAAAAACAAAGATAAATAGGTGGGACGTAATTAAACTAAGGCGTTTCTGCACAGCAAGAGGAACAGTCAGTAGAGTAAACAGGCAATGTACAGAGTGGGAGAAAATCTTTACAGTCTATACATCTGACAAAGGACTAATATCCAGAATCTACAAGGAATTCAAACAAATTAGCAAGAAAAAACAAACAATCCCATCAAAAAATGGACTAAGGACATAAATAGACAATTCTCAAATAGACAGTTCTCAAAAGAAGATATACAAATGGCCAACAAACAGACGAAAAAAAATGCTCAAGATCAGTAATGATCAGGGAAATGCAAATCAAAATCACAATGTGATACCACCTTACACCTGCAAGAATTTCCATGATCAAAAAGTCAAAAAATAATAATAGATGTTAGCGAGAATGCAGTGAAAACGGAACATGTCTATACTGCTGGTGGGAATGTAAACCAGTGCAGCCACTATGAAAAACAGTGTGGAGATTCCTTAAAGAACTAGAAGTCCTTTTGGTCCAGTAATCCCACTACTGGTATCTACCCAGAGGAAAAGAAGTCATTATATGAAAAAGATACCTGTATACACATGTTTATAGCAACACAATCCACAATTGCAAAAACATGGAACCCGTCCAAATGTCCATCAATCAATGAGTGGATAAAGAAATTGTGGTATGTGTGTGTGTGTATTATATATGTGATATATATATGTGTATATATGTGATATGTATATGTGTATATATGTATATATATATGATGGAATACTACTCAACCATAAAAAGAAACAAATTATTGGCTTTCACAGCAACCTGGATGGAACTGGAGACTATTATTCTAAGTGAAGTAACTCAGGAATGGAAACACAAATGTCATATGTTTTCACTCATAAATGGGAGCTAAGCTATGAGGATGCAAAGGCATAACAATGATATAATGGACTTTGGGGACCCGGGGGAAAGGGCGGGAGGGAGATGAGGGATAAAAGACTATAAATTGCATTCGGTATGTAATGCTTGGGTGATGGGTGTACCAAAATCTCACAAATCACCATTAAAGAACTTACTCATGTAACCAAATACCACTGGTTCCTCAAAACACCTGTGGAAATAAAACAATTTTTTTAAAGTAATCAAGTCAATAAATGTCATTCACCTACATAAACATAATTAAAAACAAAAAATAAATGATTATCTCATTAAGTGCAGAGAAAGTTTTCAATAAAATTCATCATTCCTTCATGATAAACACCCTAAACATACAAGGTATTGAGGAAACATATCTTAAAATAATAAGAGCCATCTGTGACAAACCCAGAGCCTGTATTATACTGAATAGACAAAAGCTAGAAGGATTCCCCTTGAGAAGCAGAACAAGACAAGGATGATGACGCTCATCACTCCTATCCAACATAGTACTGGAAGTCCTAGTCAGAGAGCGGGCCAGAGAAAGAAATAAATGGCATTCAAATAGGAATAAAAGAAGCCAAATTATGTATCTTCACTGATGATATGATCCTATACTTAGAAAACCTTGAAGACTGACAAAATCCCCTAGACCTGATAAACAACTACAGTGAATTTCAGGGTAGAATTCCAATGTAAAATATCAGTAGCATTTCTATACACCAATAATGTTCAAGCTGAGGAACAAATAACACAATCCCATTTAAAATAGCCACAAAAAGAATAAAATAGTAAGAATACATCTAACAAAGGAAATGAAGGATCTCTAAATGGAGAACTACAAAACACTGCTGAAAGAAATCAGAAATGACACAAACAAATGAAAAATCCTTCCATAATCACAAACTGGAATAATTAATATCATTAAAATGGTCATTCTGCCTAAAGCAATCTAAAGACTTAATACTACTCCTGTCAAACTACCAACATCATTTTTCACAGAAGTAGATAAAAATATTCTAAAATTCATATAGGACCAACGAAGAGCCTGAATAGCCAAATCAATCCTAAGCAAAAAGAACCAAGCTGCAGACATCACGTTAACCAGCTTCAAACTCTATTATAAGGCTATGGCAACCAAAACAGAATTGCACTGGTACAAAAACAGACATAGAGACCAATGGAACAGAATATAAAACCCAGAAATAAATGAAGCTGCACACATACATACATCTCATCTTTGACAAAGTTGACACAAACAAGCAATGAGGAAAGGACTCGCTGTTTAATAAATGGTGCTGGGATAACTGGCTAGCTATATGGAGAAGAATACAACTGGCCCCCTACCTTTCTCCATATACAAAATTAACTCCAGATGGATAAAATATTTAAATGAAAGACTTCAAAGTATAAAAGTCCTAGAAGAAACCTTGAAAATATCATTCTGAATATTGGCTTTGGCAAATAATTTTGACTAAGTCTTCAAAACCAAACACAACAAAAATAAAAATTGACCAGTGTGATCTAATTAAACTACAGATATTTTGCACAGCCAAACAAACTATCAACAGAGTAAACAGACAACACACAGACTTAGAGAAATTATTTGCAAACCACACATCTGACAAAAGTCTAATATCCAGGAATCCCTATGGAACTTAACTCAAAAATAAGAAAAAATATCTCCATTGAAAAGTAGGCCAAAGGCATGAACAGACATATCCCAAAAGAAGGCATACAAGTGGCCAACAAACATAAAAAATGCTCAACATCACTAGTCATCAGAGAAATTCAAATCAAAACAAAAATGAGATACTATCTGTCACCAGCCAGAATGGCTATTATTAAAATTATAGAAAATAACAGATGCTGGTGAGGCTGCAGATAAAAGAGAACATTTATGGACTGTTAGTAGGAATGTAAATTTTGGAAAGCAGTTTGAAAAGCACTTTGGAAAGCAGTTTGGAAATTTCTCAAAAAAAGTAAAAGCACAATTACCATTAAACTCAGTAATTTCATTATTCAGTATATGCCCAAAAGAAATTAAATTGTTCTACCAAAGAGACACCTGCACTTGTATGCTCATTGCAGCAGTATTCACAATAGGAAAGATACAGAATCAACTTAGGTGCCCATCAATGGTGGTTTGCATAAAGAAAATGTACTACATATTCATCATGGAATACTATGCAGCCATAAAAAAGAATTGAAAAATGCTATTTGCAGAAACATGCATGCATTTGGAGGCCATCATTCTGATAAAAAATAATGCCAACACATAAAATCAAATACTGCATTTTTTACTTATGAATGGGAGCTAAACATTGTGTATGTATGGAAAGAAAAATGGAAAGAAAAAACACTGAGGACTACTAGAAGAGGGAGAGGGTAAGGGGGCTGGGGCTGAAAAACTACCTATTGGGTACTATGCTCACTACCTGTGTGACAGAATCATTTGTAGCCCAAATCTCAATCTCACATAATATACTCACGTAAAAAACCTGCACCTGTATCCTCTGAATATAAAATAAAAGTTTAAATTATATTTAAAAAATTACTCCCTAAGCGTCTCTCGTAGGACTGATCTGGTGTTGATGAATTCCATTAGCAGTTGTTTTTCTGAGAGTCTTTTTTTCTCCTTTGTTTATGAAGCTCATTTTGTCAGGATACGAAATTATTGGCTGCCATTCCTTTTCTTTAAGAAGGCTAAAAGTAGGCCCACAATTCTTCTGATTTCTAAGGTTTCTGCACAGAAGTCCCCTGTTACTCTAATGGGAGTTATTTTATAGATAATTTGGCCCTTTTCTCTAGCTGCTTTCACATTCTTCCTTTAGCGTCAACCGTGGATAGTCTGATGACTGTGCTTTGGGCATCATCTTCTTGTATAGCATCTCACAGGATTTCTCTGAATTTCTTGTATCTGGATGTTGGCCTCTCTAGCAAGATTGGGAAAATTTCCTGGAATTATGTCATCAACTATGTTTTTCACTTTTCTTAATTTCTTTTCTCTCTCAGGAATGCCAATACGTCATAGGTTTGGTCACTTTACATAATCCAGTATTTCTCAAAGTCTTTGTTCAGATTTTTATTATTTTTATCTATGTTGAAGAGCTAATTTTTGAGCTGTTAAATTCTTTCTTCTACTTGGTGTTGTCTATTTTCAAGTATTCAAATTGTGTTTCGAAATTTCTGTAGTTAATTTCTCAATTCCAGAAATTCTGTTGTGTTCTTTTTTAATGTGGCTATACTATCTTTCATATCTTGGATTGCTTTTCTGCCTTCTTTCTATTGGATTTCAACCTTCTCTTGGATATCATTGGGTTTCCTTGCCATCCATATTCTTAATTGTATATTTGTCATTTGAGATATGTCATCCTGTCATAGAGTTAACGTGATAATTTGGAGGTAACAAAACATTGTGGCTTTTTGTATTGCCATAGCTATGGTGCTGATTCCTTTTCATCTGAGGGAACTGATGTTTCTTTTTTTGAATTTGCTGTTTAGATGGAGCTTTTTAATTTTTTTATCAATTTTTCCATTGAGGTTGTGACTGTGGCGAATGTCTTGTATAACTGATTGTCTTCATTTCTGGTTGCTTTCACAGGGCAAACCATATGTTTGTTGGTTGCAGACAGGTTCATGCAGTGGCTTTCTCAGATGCTGTTTGTTGTAGCAATGCATTTTTCTATTATGGTGTAATTCAGGCTGCAGTCCAGTATATGGTGCTTAAGAGTAAAAGCTGGCAGGTAGGCTATTACACGGCATGTACTCATCCTCTGCATGAATGAAGACACCAGAGACTCACAAAACATGCCCTCTCCCAATATGAGCTTGCCTTCATTGGGGATGAGGCAACCAGAGAAGCATGAAAAGTAGCCTCTTTCTGTGCATGCTCGTAGGGCTCCAATGGGAAGAGACATTGCAGCATTTGCAACAGTTCCCTAAGGAGCAGGGGTGGGTGAAAAATGACCCCATCTCCACAACCATCCCTGGGCTATGGTGTGTCCTCCTTTAGAAATTGAAGCCTTTGGCCAGGCGCAGTGGCTTACCCCTGTAATCCCAGCACTTTGGGAGGCCGAGGTGGGCGGATCACAAGGTCAGGAGATCGAGACCATCCTGGCTAACACGGTGAAACCCCGTCTCTACTAAAAATACAAAAAATTAGCCGGGCGTGGTGGCAGGCGCCTGTAGTCCCAGCTACTCGGGAGGCTGAGGCAGAAGAATGGTGTGGACCCGGGAGGCGGAGCTTGCAGTGAGCCGAGATCATGCCACTGCACTCCAGCCTGGGCGACAGAGCAAGATTCTGTCTCAAAAAAAAAAAAAAAAAAAAAAGAAAAAGAAAAAGAAATTGAAGTCTTTGACCCGTGGTGGGCTTTGTTGAGCTGTTCGCTCCTCCTCCCCATGAACACTCCAGGCCAAGAGTTATATCTCCAGGGAACTCACAACTATCTGGGGAACCTTGAGTGCCCTGTTTGCCAAAGTCAGAGTGGGGTGTGTCTGCACGTGGTTTGGTAGGGCAGAAGCCGAAGGATGGAAGATCCTGAGCAGGGCAGTGGCACTAAGTGTGCACTGTGGTATGGCACCTACTGTCTCAACCTGGGTCTGAGGGGGAAGTGTGGCATGTCTGTGCAAGGTGGCCCCCTGATTCTTTGTTCCCTGAAAGATCTCTGTTCACAACTGATAGTGTTGCCTGGGTCATGGGGGAAGAGGGGGTCCTCAACAGCTCAGCAGTCAGATTGACAGAGGGATGAGAGGAGGAGAGAAGAACTCCCATCTACCCTTTCTGCTGAGCTCTGAGCTCCTTGGGGTTTGATCCCAGCCAGAATTTTACTGCTTTTCCTTTCTGTGCGCCCAAGCTTCTTCAGATGGGTGCTCCAACAGATCCTGGCTCTCCTCTACTCATTTTCCACTCTAAACTTGTCCATTCACTGTTAATATTTATCTTTCTTCAAGGGAGAACTGGCATGTAATGTCCCTAGTCAGCCATCGTGAAGACTAAAAACTCGGTTTTATTTTTGCTTGTTTTATTATTTAAACAGTTAAGGTTCTGAGAGGTTAAATAATTAACTGAATGTGACAGAGCAAGGATTTCAGTTTAAGTTCTCTAGTTTCAAATCATTGAATTTTCCAATATTCTAAGCTTCCTCTCTAAGCAGAAGTAATTTGTAGACATGTTAATCATAGCACAGTATGTAGGCGTGCAGGTGATAGGAAAAAAAGCAAACATTATTTCTTGCAGAACACCAGTGTGACATTTGCTAGAGATGCAAAACTGAATAAAATAAAACATAAATCTTTGAAACATATTACCTTTTTCCAAACTGCTCTGTATCCCACAATGATGACAGCCATTATAATTGTCCTAAGAACTACTGTGTGGTGGGTTGGGTCAAGATGGCAGACTAAAAGCAGTTCATGTGTGCCACTCTCATAGAAAAAATATAATACTTAAGCTACTGAACACTGACCCTATATGCCAGTCATCTAAGAATTCAAATCAGGATCAATAAAGGCAGCAAGGGGATACAGGGAGCAGAAAGGAGTAAAGCTGGGCACAGCCTATTTGGAATCAATGTGGAGCTAGGAGAAACTCCCCAACATGGGAAAGGGTGAGTAAGTGAGAGCCCCGCTGGCAGATTCACATTCTCCACAGGGACCTGTGCAAGACTGAGAACTGGAGAATCCCCCCGCCTTCCCAAACCCCTCCACACTTACAAACTGTACAGAGAGCCACCCAGGTGTTTTGCAGAGGCAACTCTCAAGTCCTTGGAGACCTCTACAAGTCTTGCACCATGAAATAGACCTGCACCAGTGCCATAGCCCCAATAGACACAACAGTCATGACACCTGGGGACAGTAAGATTACTCCACCCTCCCTTGCCAAACAAGGCTCCGCACTAGCTTCCAGCCCAGTGGTCCCACTTCTGCCTAAACTCAGCCAGTAGCTCCACCCTGTTGTTCTGGGAAACAGACAAAAGGGCAGGTGACCTCACTCACTCAGCTGCTGTTAGCCAGGAGGGTAACACCTGCTACAGCTTTCAGCCCAGTAGTCCCGCTACTGTTTCAACTCAGCCAGTGAGTACATCCTCCTGCTATCCTGGGAAACACCCAGATGTCACCGTGAGCAACTCCACCCACCCCTGCCTCTTGTAGCCAGGTGGGCAATACTTGATAGAGCTTCTAGCCCAGCAGTCCTACTTCTGCCTGAATTCTGTAAGGGTCACAGCACCCTGTTATCCTTGGAAACACCTGGATGGCTGGGTGAGAAACTATACACTCACGTCTGCCTCTCATAACCAGACGGGCCACATCCACTAGAGCTTCCAGTCCAGTGGTACTGTTTCTGCCTGAACTCTGTGGGCAGGCACAACCCCATGTTCCCCTGGGAAGCATGTGGACAGATTAGGTGACCGCAGCCACACCCAAATCTCCTAGCCAAGTGGGACTTGCTGTCTTGTGTGGTGCTTAAGCAAGGATGGGCCCACACTCTTGGATCACTGAGAGACTTGAGATCCCCAGGTTCACAGGCCAGTGGTAGAGAGAGGAGTGCCAGCCTCCACAGGGCTGACAACTGCAAGGATACGGCTGGTCTGCAAACAGTTGTCCCTGCCTGATGGAGCCTCGTGGAACAGAACACCCCAAAAAAGAAATGTGGGCCCAAAGCCACTAATCAGAGGGGGCTCCTCCAAGGCTAAGAAGTGGTCTAGGTGAGGGAGTCATCTCTTTCCCCCTCTACCACAGAGCACTACTGCCAACTGCACCAAAACCCAAAAAAGCTGTGCAGTAGAGTGAGAGCTGATCTGCTGGGTAATATTCATAAGCCCCTCCTACAGGATCACAGCCCAAAATACAACACCAAAATATTTTTCTAGCATACAGCAACTATGAAAATTAAGGCAAAGGCTCCCACCAGTGGCCTGTCCCAGCCAACACATGTGTACCCCGTTGTGCTGCCATGGCTGCTGGCACACACAAGTGAGCAAAAATCCCACTGCCACTACCCTTACGAAGTGCCTTGGCTGACATGTGTCATTAGGGTGTTGAGGCCAAAGAACCAGGAACACCTTGGCCCCTCCAGAACAATAGGCTTCTAACATCACAGGACCAAAGAGCAAAGCCAAGACTTGGCACCATCCCTCCAGAGTTTGAGCATGCAGCCCAAGAGTGATGATCTCAGGCTTGGCCCTGTGAGATCTTTTGAGAATGAAAGCCAGTTCACAGAACACACCTTATTTCACAATCAAAACCCCAAGAACAGCAAAGAAAATAAAAGCAAAAAAGAAAAAAAATCATCCAAAGGACCGTGCCTTCAAAGATAAAAGAAATATCAGCCCACAAAGATGAGAAAGAATCAGCACAAGAACTTGGGCAACTCAAAAAGCCAGAGTGTCTTCTAACCTTCAAATGACTGCACTACTTCCCCAGTGATGTTTCTTAAACCAGGCTGAATTAGTCGAAATGACAAGCATATAATTCATTGAAAGAGAGTGCGAGAAAGCACACAAGTTGCAAAACATATTTGAAGATATTGTCTACCAAAATTTTCCCTATCTCGCCACAGAGGCCAACATTCTAATTCAGAAAATGCAGAGAACCTCTTTGAGATACTACACAGGATGACCATTCCCAAGACACACAGTCATCAGATTGTAGAAGGTCAAAATGAAAGAAAAATACTAATGGCAGCTAGGAAGAAGGGGCAGATCATCTACAAAGGGAACCCTATTAGGCTAATAGTGAACTTTTCAAGACAGAAGAGATTGAGAGCCAATACTCAGTACTCTTAAAGAAAACAATCTCCCATCAAGAATTCCATATCCTATAAAACTAATATTCATAAATGAAGAAGAAATAAGGTACCATTCAGACAAGCAAATGTTAAGGGAATTCATTATCACCAGACCTGCCTAACAAAAAGTCCTTAAGGTAGTACTAAATATGGAAACAAAAGACCATTACTGCCCACAACAAAAATGAACTTAAATGCATAGACAATTGACCCTCTGAAAGCAAGCACACAATCAACTATGCATAACAACCAGCTAACAACATGATGACATCATCAAATCTGCCACATGTCAAGATTAACCTTGAGTGTAAACAAGCTAAAATGTCCCAATTAAAAGGCACAGAATGGCAAGTTGAATAAAGAAACAATATCCATGCTGCCTTCAAGAGACCAATCTCACATGCAGTGACACTCTTGGGCTCATAGAAAAGGGATGAAGAAAAATCTACCATGCAATTGGAAAACAACAACAACAAAGCAGGGACCATTATTCTAATTTCAGACCTAACAGACTTTAAACCAACAATAATCACAAAAGAAACGAGTAATACTGCATAATGGTAAAGGGCTCAATTAAACAAGAAGACCTAACTATCCTAAATATATATGCTCCAAATGCAGGAGCATCAAGATTGATAAAACAAGTTCTTAGAGACCTTTGAAGAGATTTAGATAACCACACAATAATAGCCAGGGACATCAACACCTTACTGACCATATTAGATTATTGAGGCAGAAAATTAGCAAAGATATTCAAGACCGAAATTTGACACTTGAGCTAGTGGACCTAACAAACACCTACAAAACTCTCTACCCCAAAAATCAGAATATATGTTCTTCTCATCTTCACATAACACATACTCTAAAACCAACCACACAATCAGCTGTAAAACAATTCTCAATAAATTATAAAAAGCCAAAACATACCAACCATGCTCATGAGGCACAGCGTAATAAAAATAGAAACAAATACTAAAAAGATCACTGAAAACCATACCATTACAAGGAAATTAAACAACCTACTCCAAAATGACTTCTTCATGCTTCAATCTTAGAAGATCGTATGCTTCCAGGAACTTATCTATTTCTTTTAGGTTTTCTGGTTTGTTTGCATAGAGGTGTTCATAATAGCCTCTGCAGTTTTTTGTAGTTCTGTTGGGTCAGTGGTAATATCCTATGAAGAAAGGGAAATCCTGAACAGAGACCAATAATGAGTTCAGAAATCAAATCAGTAATAAAAAGGCTGCCAACAAAACTCCCAGGAGCAGATACATTCACGGCCAAATTTTACCAGATGCATAAAGAAGAGCTGGTACCATTCATTCTAAAACTATTCCAAGAAATTGAGAAGAAGGGGCTCCTTCCTAACTTATTCTATGTGACCAGCATCATTCTGATACCAACACCTGGCAGAAACACAAACACAAAACTTCAGGCCAAAATCCTTGATGACCATAGATGCTAAAATCCCCAAGAAAATACTATTAAACTGAATCCAGCATATCAAAGAGCTAATTCACCATGGTCATGTCAGATTTATCACTGGAATGCAAGGTTGGTTCAACATATGCAAATTAACAAATTTGATTCCTCAAATAAAGAGAACTAAAACTAAAAACCACAAGATGATCTGAATAAATGCAGAAAAGGATATCAACAAAATTCAACATTGCTTCATGTTAAAAACTCTCAACAAATGAGGCATTTAATGTATCTCAAAATAATAAGAATCATCTATAAAAAATACACAGTAGACATCATACTGAATGGGCAAAAGCTAGAATTTTTCTTGAAAATAGGAACATGACAAGGATGCATATTCTCACCACTCGTATTCAACATAGTACTGAAGGCCTTTGCCAGAGCAGTCAGGCAAAAGAAAGAAATAAAAGGCATCCAAACAGGAAGAGAGGAAGTAAAACTATCACTATTGGCAGACTATATGATTCTATACCTAGAAAACCCCAAAATCTCCCACCAAAATCTTCTTGATCTGATAGACAACTTCAGCAGAGTTCCAAGATACAGAAACTAACATACTTGGGCCAGGTGCTGTGGCTCATGCCTGTAGTCCCAGCACTTTGGGAGGCTAAGGTGGGTGGATCACTTGAGGCCAGGAGTTTGAGACCACCCTGGCCAACATGATGAAACCCTGTTCCTACTAAAAATACAAAAATTAGCCAGGTGTGGTGGTAGGTGCCTGTAATCCCAGGTACTTTGGAGGCTGAGGCAGGAGAATCGCTTGAACCCGAGAGGTGGAAGTTGCAGTGAGCCAAAATTGTGCCACTGCACTCCAGCCTGGGCGACAGAGTGAGACTCTGTTTCAAAAAAAAAAATATATATATACAAAAATGAGTAGCATATATATACAACAATAATGTCCAAGCTGAGTGCCAAATCAAGGATGCAGTTCTATTCACAATAGCCATACACACACAAATAAAACACCTAGAAATACAGTTAACAACAGAGGTGGAAGATCTCTACAACAATTATAAAACACAGCACAAAGAAATCAGACATGACATAAACAAATGGAAAAACATTCCATGCTCATGGATAGGAAGAATAAATATTGTTAAAATGGACATACTGCCCAAAGCAATTTATAAATTAAATGTGATTCCTATCAAACTACTAATGACATTCTTCACAAAATTAGTACAAACTTTTCTAAAATTCATTTGAAATAAAAATTGCCAATATATCAAAAAAAAAAATCTTGAGCAAAAAGAGCAAAGCTGAAGGCATCACATTATTTAACTTCAAAATATACTATGAGGCTACAGTAACCCAAAGAGCATGGTACTAGTACAAAAACAGACACACAGACCAATTTAACAGACTAGAGATCCTAGAAATAAAACCGCACACTTAAAACTATCTGATTCCCCACAAAGTTGACCAAAATAAGCAATTGGGGAAATACTCTCTATTTGATAAATGTTGCTGAGGTAACTGGCTAGCAATATGCAGAAGATTGAAACAGGGACCTTTCTTTCACCATATACAAAAATCAATTCACGATGGATTAAAGACTTAAATATAAAACATAAAACTATAAAAATCTTTGATAAAAACTTAGGAAATACCATTCTGGTTATAGACCTTGGCAAAGACTTTATGATGAAGATGCCAAAATCAACTGAAACAAAATAAAAATTGACAAATGGAACCTAATTAAACTACAGTGCTTCTGCACAGCAAAACAAACACAGCAAAACAAAGAAAGAAACAAAAAACTATCAATGGAGTAAACAGAAAACACAAAATCAGAGAAAATATTTGCAAACTATGCTTCTGACAAAGGTCTAATATGCAGACTCTAGAAGAAACTTAAATCAACAAGCAAAAAACAACTCTGTGAAAAAGTGGGCAAAAGACATGAACAGACACTGTTCTCCTTTTTTTGGTGTTGTTTTTTTGAAACAGAGTCTCACTCTGTCACCCAGGCTGGAATGCAGTGGTGTGATCTTGGTTCACTGCAAGCTCCACCTCCCGGGTTCACACCATTCTCCTGCATCAGCCTCCTGAGTAGCTGGGACTACAGGTGCCCGCCACCATGCCTGGCTAATTTTTGTATTTTTAGTAGAGATGGGGTTTCACCATGTTAGCCAGGATGGTCTCCATCTCCTCACCTCGTGATCCTCCCACTTTGGCCTCCCAAAGTGATGGGATTACAGGCGTGGTCCACGCCTGGCACAAACAGACACTTTTCAAAAGAAGACATACAGGCGGCCAATAAGCATATAAAAAAATGCTCAGTATCACTAATTATTAGAGAAATACAAATCAAAATAACAATGAGATATAATCTCACACCAGCCAGAAAGGCTATTACAAATTTAAAAAATAACAGATGCTGACAAAGTGACAGAGAGAAGGGAATGCTTGTACAGTGCTGGTGGAAATGTGACTTAGCTCAGCCACTGTAGAAAGCAGTTTAGCAATTTCTCAAAGAACTAAAACACAACTTATTTAACACAGCAATCCCATTATTGGGTATATACTCAAAGGAATATAAATTGTTGTACCATAAAGACATCTGCCTGTGTATTTTAATTGCAGCACTATTCAAAATAGCAAAGACATGGAATCAGTCAAGATGCTCATCAATGGTATACTGTATAAAGAAAATGTGGTACATATACATGAGGGAATAATATAAAGCCATAAAAATACAAGATCATGTCCTTTGCAGAAACATGGATGGAGATGGAGCCCATTATCTTAAACAAACTAATGCAGAAACAGAAAACCAAATACCGTATATCTTACTTATAAGTGGGAGCTAAACGTAGAATACATATGGACACAAAGAAGACAGCAATAGACACAAGGGCCTACTCAAGGCCTGAGGGTAGGAGAAAGGTGAGAATAAAAAAAAAATTACCTATCAAGTACCATGCTTATTACCTGGGCGATGAAATAATGTGTACACAAAACTACCAGAACACACAATTTGCCTATATAACAAATGTGCACATGCACCCCTGAGATTAAATAAAAATTAAAAAAAATAGGCCGGGTGCCGTGGCTCACTCCTGCAAACCCAGCACTTTGGGAGGCAGAGGCGGGTGGATCACGAGGTCAGGATATCAAGCCCATCCTGGCTAACATGGTGAAACCCCGTCTCTACTAAAAATACAAAAAATTAGCCGGGTGTGGCAGTGTGCGCCTGTAGTCCCAGCTACTGAGGAGGCTGAGGCAGGAGAATGGCGTGAACTCGGGAGGCGGAGCTTGCGGTGAGCCGAGATCGCGCCACTGCACTCCAGCCTGGGCGACAGAGCGAGACTCCGTCTCAAAAAAATAAATAAATAAATAAAATAAAATAAAATAATAATAATAATAATAGGCCATAAATTTGGGGTTTTGGTAATGGTTTTCTAACCATAGAAACAAATATATAAAAAGAAAAATATGGAAATATTTGTTTATTTTACAGTTGTATACTGTTATATAAGTAAAATATCTTTATGGCTAAAAGGGCCATAAAACAGTGAAAAAACCAAATGGCCACTATGGATCAATATTAATTGCGGCCCAGGAAACAGAGTCGCATTGTACAACCATAACCTATGTAACCTACTGTCTGAATGAAAGGTGCAAGAAACCCAAACAAAGAGAATTTGGAAGCCTGGTAGCACTCCCAAAAATTGTCTTTTGCAAGCTTCATAGTAAATGTAGAGAGTGAACATTTATTCCAGATGCTGGCAGTATCTAGAATATTATTTTTAATTTTAATATTGATATAAGTTTTTACCTTTTCTCTCATTTTGAGGGGTTTATTTTCTGGGAAACTGAGAGAATATAATTATGGCATCTTCCTACAGCTTATATATAAAAACTGAATGATATAAAATTTCATTATTTTATTTTTATGAGAGTTATATACATAAACACATATAATCAAATACATTGTTCCCATTATAGTTTTGAACAAATGATCATTTCTCAGATCAATTAAGACTAAGAAAGTACCAATACACATACGAAAAATGCTCAACATCACTAATCATCGGGGAAATGCAAATTAAAACCACAGTGACATATTACCTTACCTCAGCCAGAATGGCCATTATTAAAAAGTTAAAAAAAAAAAAAGAAGGTGGAATAGATGTAGTGAAAAAGGGACCCTTATACATTGCTGGTGGCAATACAAATTAGTACAACTTTTATGGAAAACAGTAGGGAAGTTTCTCACAGAACAAAAAATTGATCTATCATTTAATCCAGCATTCCCACCACTGGGTATCTACCCAAAGGAAAAAAAAAGTCACTATATCAAAAAGACACACGCAAACGTATGTTTACTGCAGCACAGTTCACAACTGCAAAGATATGTAATCAAATTAAGTGCCCACCAACTGATGAGTGGATAAGAAAATGTGACACACACACATACACACACACACACACAGACACACACACACACAGTGGAATACTACTCAGTCATAAAAAATGAAATAAAGTATTTTGCAGCAACTTGGAAGGAACTGGAGGCTATTATTCTAAATGAAGTAATTCAGGAATTAAAAACCAAATACCACATGTTCTCATTTACAAATTGGAGCAAAACTGTGAGTACACAAAGGTATACATAGTGGTAGGATGGACACTGGAAACTCAGAAGAGGGAAGAATGAGAGAGGAGTGAGGGACAAAAAACTACTTATTGGGTACAATATACACTGCTCAGGTGATGCTGTAAAATCCTAGACTTCAGCCATGTAACCAAAAACTACTTGTACCACTAAAGCTATTGAAATAACAAAAATAAAGAAAAGAAGTACTGTGTAATGTAAGTTTGTCAAGAACATAAAAATTCCTAGGGAGAGATGCTGAGAATCAGAGGAACTTGTCCTACCGGCAGATTCTCAGGAAGAGTAGACCCTATGCACCAAAAATTTCTTCTCACTACATCAGAATTTATTTACTACATGTAGCTTTCTGTGTAAAAATTCACCAATTTGAGATTTTAGTTAACAAATATCCTCTCTCTTTTTAAAAGAAAATACCTCTCAGTAGAATAAGAACCCTTAATCAGTAAAGGATAGTGACTAACTGAGAGTTTCAAGAATCCATACTGATATAAAAATAAATGGCTGAAAAGGAAATAAATAAAGGAGAATAGATACATCTCTGGTGGAAAAGAATTTCAAATAATTTATATAGGAAGTAACAAGAGCATAACCACAACTTGTTACATCCGGGCTTTACCTGTGCCTTTCTTCCAAAGTGCACAACATGAAAAAGGAAAGAGGAATAACTTTACAGTGGATAAAACTAGCACACACTACTTCAGACTGATGACTAAGATCTACATCATACTCTTGTTATGATGGGATAAGAGTGGCAGTTTAGATTTGTGGTCTTCCTCCTCAAAACTTGTAAACTGAGTCTAACCATAAAAAACTCTCAGACATATACCAATAGAGGGAATAGAGGGTCATTCTACAAAATACCTGAGCAGAACCTCTCAAAAACTGTCAAGGTCATCAAACACCAAGAGAATCTGAGAAATTGCCACAGCCAAAAGAGTATATGATGCATAAGAAAACGTAATGATTAATTTCAAAGACATATCCTAGATAGGATACTGAAATAGAAAAAAAGACATTAGGTTAAAACTAAAAAATAAAAAAAAATATGGAGTTTAATTAATAATAGTGTGTCAAATTGGATTTATTGATTTGTAAATTTTAACAATGTATCATACTCATGTTAGGTATTAATAATAGGGGAAACTAGGTGTGGAGCATATGAGAACTTTCTGTAGTAATTTTGTAATTTTTCTGTAAATCTAATGCTCTTCTACAATTTAATATTTATTAACACAAATGTAGGATGATGTTACTGACACCTTGTTTGCTCAGTAAAAAGTTTGAAATGACCATAGGATCACATTTAAATAAAATAAACACCCAGTACCACCCCCACATACAAACACATGCTAATACTGAGAAAAGAAACTAGACACAAAGGCTCAATCAAGGGTCCAAGAATAATTAAGGTTTATCCTGCACTTAGAGAAGTAATACACCAGGAAGTTTCCTGGGATTGAATGTAAGTACAAGATTTATATTATTCTTCTGTATACTTCCAAAAGTTATCTGAAATTGATAACATGATCTAAACACACTTTATTATTTGTTTCATCAGTGTTTTGTAGTTCTATTTTAGAGATCTTTCACCTCCCTGGTTAGAAGTATTTCTAGGTACTTCATTCTTTGTGTGACTACTATAAATGAAATTGTGTTATTGATTTGATTCTCAGCTTGAATATTATTGGTGTATAGAAATGCTACTGAGTTTTGTACATAGGTTTTGTATCCTGAAACTGTAGTGAAGTTGTTTATTAGGTCTAGGAGTCTTTTGATGGAATCTTAAGTTTTCTAGATATAGAAACATCATCAGTGAAGAGAAATAAATTGACTTCCTATTTTCCTATTTGGATGCCTTTTGTTTCTTTCTCTTGCCTGATTTATCTGACTAGGACTTCCAGTGTTATTTTGAATAGGAGTAGTGAGATTGGACATCCTTTTCTTGTTTTAGTTCTTAAGGGTAATGTTTTCAGCTTTTGCCCATTCAATATAATGTTTGCTGTGGGAAAGAAATCACAGACAGCACAGACAAATGAAAAAATATTTTATGTCCATAAATTGGAAGAATCAACATCACTAAAATGGCCACACAGCCCTAAGGAATCTATAGATTCAACACAATTTCTGTCAAACCGCCAATGTCATTTTTTACAGAATTAAAAAAAATTCTTAAATCTGTATTAAAACAAAAGTCATCCTGAATAGCCAAGGCAATCCTAGGAGGAAAACAAAGCTGAATGTGTCACATTACCTGACTTCAAGCTACACTACAAGACTATAGTAACCAAAAGATCATAGTACTTGTAAAAAAACAGACTCAGAGATGAGTGGAACAGAAGACAGAACACCAAAATAAAGCCACACACTTACAACCAGTTAACTAAGCTTTGACAAAGTTGGAAAAATAAATGGGGGAAGGAGACCCTATTTAATAAATGGAGCTGAGATATCTGACTAACCATATACAAAAGAATGAAACTGGACCACTATCTCATACCACATATAAAAGTTAACTCATAATGGATTAATATTTAAATGTAAAACCTCAAGCTATTGAAATCCTACAAGAAAACCTACGAAAAGTTTTTGTGCACATTGGTCTAAGAAAAGAATTTCTGACTAAGTTCTTAAAAGCAAACATGACAAAACCAAAAAATATACAAGTGGGACATAATTAAACAGCTTCTGTATAGCAAAATAAACCATCCACACAGTAAATAGACAAGCTACAGAAAGTGAGAAAATATTTGCAAACTATGCATCTAACAAAGGACTAATATCCAGAATCCATAAGGAAATTAAACAAAACAATGAGAAAAAAAATCTTATTAAAAAGTGGGCAAAAGTCATGGACAGACACTTCTCTAAAGACATACAAACAGCCAACGAACATATGAAAAAAATGCCCACTATTATTAATCATCAAAGAAATGCAAATTGAGAACACATAAGATAATGTCTCACACCAGTCAGAGTGGCTACGGCTAAAATGTCAAACATATTGACAAAGATATTGGTGAGGTTGCGGAGAAAAGGAAATGCTTATACACTGTTGGTAGGAATGTAATTTAGTTAAACTTCTGGGGAAAGCAATTTGGAAATTTCTCAAAGATCTAAAAATAGAACTGTCACCCGATCCAGCAATCTCTTTCTTTGAATTTCCTTTTACAAAGGAAAATAGTTTTACCAAAAAATAATCTGCACTTATATGTTCATTGCAGCAGTATTCATAATAGTGAAGATACTGTATCAACCTAGGTGCCTATCAATGGTGGATAGGATAAAGAATGTTGTACATATACACCATGAAATACTATGCAGCCACAAACAGAATAAAATCATGTCCTTTGCAGCAATATCGATGCAGTTGCAGATCATTATTCTAAAGGAATTAACACAGAAACAGAAAACCAAATACCACACATTCTCACTTATAAGTCAGAGCTAAGTATTGCATACACATGGACATAAATATGGGACCAAAAGACACTAAAGATTCCAAAAAACTGGAGGGATATGGGGAGAACGGTTAAAAATTACATATTGGATACTATGTTTACTATTTGGGTGATGGTTTCTATAGAAGCCCAAACCTCAACATCACACAATATATTTATGTAACTAACCGGCACATATAACCCATAAATCTAAAATAAATAAATAAATAAATAAAACACATTATATTAGAATAATTAAAATATAGAAGAGGTCTAGGTTGTCAGAAGCATATGTAAAGCAATTTGAGGTTATACAAAAGGCATTTTTTTATTTAAAAGTTATATGCAACAATATTATGTTTAACAATTATCAGATAATATTTTTAAGATGAGATTAATCCGATTCTATTTTTCCATGGAAACAAGTTTACTCACTGAACTTTAATTACTTACTTATCCATAAAATAAAAATCATAATATTTATCATGTCTACTTTCCTGTATCACAGAATAAAATAAGAAATAAATTTGATATTTAAACTTTTTTTCAACAAATACATATTTGATCAATTACTGTGTTACACATTGTTGTAGAAACTAGGGATTGAGCAGTGAGGAAAAAGCAGGCAATGTTCTTGTTCTCATGAAACTTAAATAAGAAAAAACAAATTATTAAAAAGTAAATTGATAATTTTTGAGAATTTTGGTGTATGTCAAAATTTATTTTGGCAAAGATAAATTTTTTTTTTTAAACGCAGTCTCACTCTGTCACCAGGCTGGAGGGCCGTGGCACGATCTTGGCTCACTGCAACCTCTGCCTCCCTGGTTCAAACGATTCTCCTGTCTCAACCTCCTGAGTAGGTGGGACTACAGGCACACAGCACCACACCCAGTTAATTTTTGTATTTTTAGTAGAGACGGGGTTTCACCATTTTGGCCAGGATGGTCTTCATCTCTTGACCTCCTGATCCAACCACCTCGGCCTCTCAAAGTGCTGGGATTACAGGTGTGAGCCACCACACCCGGCCACAGATAAAGTTTTATTCAAATTTAAAATATTGCTATCAACATGAAAATTATTTCATATTCTCTGCATAGTCTCAGTTTCCTCCATTTGCTTGCTGTGTAGTCTGATTTTTTTTTAAATAGATTTTGGGAAACAGGTAGTTTTTGGTTACATGGATGAATTCTATACTGGTAAATTCTGAGATTTTGGTGCACCTGTTACCCAAATATTGTACACTTTACCCAATATATAGTCTTTTATCCCTCATCCTCCTCCCAACCTTTGCCCTGAGTCTCCAAAGTCTATTATATCATTCTTATGCCTTTGCATCTAAATAGCTTAGTTCCCACTTATAAGTGAGAACATAAAATATTTGGTTTTCCATTCCTGAGTTACTTCACTTAGAATAATAACCTCCTACACCTTTCAAGTTGCTGCAAACAGCATTATTTTGTTCCTTTTTATGACTGAATAGTATTCCATGGTGTATATATACCACATTTCTTTATCCACTTGTTAATTGATGGACACTTTGGGTTCATAGCTTTGCAATTGTGAATTGTGCTGCTACAAACATGCATGTGAAAATGGCTTTTTCATACAAGACTTCTTCTCCTCGAGTAGATACCCAATAGTGGGACTGCAGGATCAAATACTAGATCAAATTTTAGTCCTTTAAGGAATCTCCATATTGTTTTCCATAGAGGTTGTACTAATTTACATTCACACCAACAGTGTAAAAGTGTTCCCTTTTTACTTTGCATTTTCCTGATTATTACTGATGTTGAGCATTTTTTCATATGTTTGTTGGCCATTTGTATATCTTGAGAAATGTCTATTCATGTCCTTTGCACAGTTTGTGATGGAATTATTTGTGGTTTTTTTCCGACTGATTTGAGTTTCTTGTAGATTGTGGACACTAGTCCTTTGTGAGATGCATAGTTTGCAAATATTTTCTCCCATTCTGTGGGTTGTCTGTTTACTCTGCCAATTATTTGTTTTGTTGTGCAGAAACTTTTTAGTTTAATTATATCCAACTTATTCATTTATTTTTTCATTGTTTTGGGGGTCTTTATCATAAAATCATTACCTAGGCAATGTCCATAGTTTTATCTATGCTCATCTAGAATTTTGTGGTTTCAGATCTGAGATTTAGGTCTTTGATTCACCTGGAGTTGATTTTTGTATAAGACGTGAGATGAGGATCCAGTTTCATGCTTCTACCCATGGCTTGCCAGTTTTCCCAGCACCATTTATTGAATAAGGTGTTGTATTAGTGTGTTCTCACAGTGCTATAATGAACGAGCTGAGACTGGGTAATTTATGAAGAAAAGAGGTTTAATTGACTCATAGTTCTGCAGGCTTAACAGGAAGCATGAATTGGAGGCCTCTAGAAACTTACAATCATGGGGGAAAGTGAAGGGGAAGCAAGCACATCTTACCATGGCAGCAGGAGAGACAGAGAGAGAAGGAGGAGGTGCCTCATACTTTTAGATAATCAGATCTTGTAAGAACTCATTCAATATTATGAGAACAGCAAGGGGAAAATTCACCCCCATGATCCAATAACCTTCTACAGGCTGTTCCCCCAACATGTGGACATTAAAATTCAAGATGAGATTTGGGTGGGGACACAGGGCCAAACCATATCTTTCTGGCTGTGGCCCCTCTCAAATGTCATGTTGCTTTCACATCTCAAAAGACAATCATGCCTTCCCAACAGCCACCCAAAGTCTTAACTCATTCCAGCATTAACTCAAAAGTTCACATTCAAAGTCTCATCTGAGACAAGGCAAGTCCCTTCCACCTATGAGACTGTAAAATAAAAAACAAGTTACTTCCAAGATAAAATGAAGATACAGGAATTGGGTAAATGCTCCCAATCCAAAAGGGAGAAATTGGCCAAATCAAAGGAGCTACAGGCCTCATGAAAGTCTGAAATAGAACAGGGCAGTCATTAAATTTCAAAGCTATAAAATAATCTCCTTTGACTCCAAGTCTCAAAACCAAAGCACACTGATGCAAGGGGTGGGCTTCCAAGGCGTTAAGCAGCTCTGCCTTTGTGGCTCTGCAGGGTACAGCACCACAGCTGCTTTCATAGGCTTGCATTGAGTGACTGTGGCTTTTCTAGGCACATAGTGCAAGCTGTCAGTGGATCTACCATTTTGCACTATGGAGGATGGTGGCCCTCTTCTTGCAGCTCCACTAGGCAGTGGCCCAGTGGGGATTCTGTGTGGGGGCTCCAACCCCACATTTCCCCTCTGCACTTCTGTAGTAGAGGTACTCCATGAGGGCTCTGCTCCTGCAGCAGACTTCCTCCTGGCCATCCAAGCATTTCCATACATCCTCTATAATCTAGGTGGAATTGCCAAAGCCACAACTCTTGCCTTCTGTGTACCTGCAGGCACGACACCACATGGAAGCTGCCCAGTCTTGGGGCTTGCTCACTCTGAAGCAATGGCCTAAGCTGTATCTTGGCCCTTTTAGCCAGGACTGGAGCTTGAGCAGCTGGGACACAGGGCACCTTGTCCCACGACTGCACAAAGCATCTGGGCCCTGGGCCTGGCCCACGAAACCATTTTTCCCTTCTAGGCCTCCAGGCTTGTGATGGGAGGGACTGAAGTGAAGGTCTCTGACATGCTCTGGAGATATGTCTTGGCTATTAACATTCCGCTCCTCTTTACTTATGCAAATTTCTGCAGCAGGCTTAAATTTCTCCCTAGAAAATGAGTTTTTCTTTTCTACCACATGGTCAGGCTGCAAGTTTTCCAAACTTTTATGTTCTGCTTTTCTTTTTAATATAAGTTCCAATTTTAGACCATCTATTTTCTGACACATATGAGCATACACTTTTAGAAACAACCAGGTCACATCTTGAATGCTTTGATGCTTAGACATTTCTTCCATCAGATACCATAAATCACGTCTCTCAAGATAAAAGTTCTACATATCTCTAGGACAGGGACAGAATGTTACCAGTCTCTTTGCTAGAGCAAAGCAAAAGTGTCCTTTACACCAGTTCTCATCTCCATCTGAGAACACCTCAGCTTGTACTTCATTGTCCATATCACAATTAGCATTTTTAACAAAACCATTCAACAAGTCTCTAGGAAGTTCCAAACTTTCCCACATCTTCCTATCTTCTGAGCACTCAAAACTGTTCTAATCAATGCCCATTACCCAGATTTAAAGTTGCTTCCACATTCTCAGGTATCTTTATATCAGTATCCCACTCCTAGTACCATTTTTCCATATTAGTCCATTCTCACAGTGCTATAAAGAACTACCCAAGACTGGGTAATCTGTAAAGAAAAAAGGTTTAATTGACTCACAGTTTTGCAGGCTTAACAGGAAGCATGACTGGGAGGCCTAAGGAAACTTACAATCATGGCAGAAGAGAAAAGAGAAGAAAGCACATCTTACCATGGTGGCAGGAGAGACAGAGAGAGAATGGGGAGGTGCCATACACTTTTAAACAATGAGAACTCATGAAAACTCATTCACTATCATGAGAACAGCAAGTGAGAAATCTGCCCCCATGATCCAATCACCTTCCACCAGGCTCCTCTCCTGACACATGGGGATTACAGTTTGAGATGAGATTTGAGTGGGGACACAGAGCCAAATACATCAGGAGTTTTTTGCTCAATTTATATTTTTGTAAGCTCTGTCAAAGATCAGTTGGCTGTGAGTATTTGGCTTTAATTCTCTGTTCTCTATTCTTTTCTGTTGGTCTAAGTGCCTATTTTTATACCAGTACCATGCTGCTTTGGTAACTATAGCCTTGTAGTATATTTTGAACTCTGGTAATGTAATGCTTCCAGATTTCTTCTTATTGCTTAGTAGTGCTTTGGCTATTCAGGCTCTTTTCTGGTTCCATATGAATTTTAGAATTGTTGTTTCTACTTCTGTGAAAAATGGTGGTGGTGGTTTTTTTTTTTTTTTTTTTTTTTTTTTTTTTTTGGAGATGCAGTCTCCCTCTGCCGCCCAAGCTGGAGTGCAGTGGCACAATCTCGGCTCACTGCAAGCTCTGCCTCCTGGGTTCATGCCATTCTCCTGCCTCAGCCTCCTAAGTAGCTGGGACTACAGGCGCCCGCCACCATGCCCAGCTAATTTTTTTGTACTTTTAGTAGAGACTGGGTTTCACCGTGCTAACCAGGATGGTCTCGATCTCCTGACCTCATGATCCACCTGCCTCAGCCTCCCAAAGTGTTGGGATTACAGGCGTGAGCCACCGCGCCTGGCTGGTGGTGGTGTTCTTATGGAAATTGCTTTGAATCTGTAGATTGCTTTGGGCAGTATGATCATTTTTACAATACGAATTTTTCCCACCCATAGGCATGGGATAAGTTTCCATTTGTTTGTGTCATCTATGATTTATTTCAGCAGTGTCTTGTAGTTTTCTTTGTAAATATACTTTACCTCTTTGTCTAAGTATATTCCTAGATTTTTTTTTAGCTCCTGTAAACAAGATTGAGTTCTTGATTTAATTCTCAGCTTGGACATTTTTAGTATTTATCATTTTTACTGGTTTGTGTACATTGATTTTGCATCCTGAGATTTTACTAAATTCATTTATCATATCTAGGAGTCTTCTGAAACAGCCTTTAGAGTTTTCTAGGTATAGAATCTTATCAGTGAACAGTACTAGTATGACTTTTTCTTTTTATATTTGGATGTCCTTTATTTCTTTCTCTTGCCTGATTGCTCTGACTAGGACTTCTAGTACTATGTTAAATAGAAGTGGTGAAAATGGGCATCCTTCTCTCCTTAAAGTTTTCAGGGTGAAATTTTTCAACTTTTTTCCTTTTAGTATGATGTTTGCTGTGGGTATGTCATATATGGCTTTTATTATTTTGAGGTAAGTCTCTTCTATGCCTAGTTTATTGAGGATTTTTATCATAAACAGATGCTGGATTTTATCAAATGCTTTGCATCTATTGAGATGATCCTATACTTTAGTCTAATTCTGTGTATGTGATCTATAACATTTATTGACTTGAATATGTTAAGCCATCTCTGCACTCCTGGGACAAAACCCACTTGGCCATGATGTGTTATATTTTTGATGTGATGTTGGATTCAGTTAGCTAGTATTTTGTTGAGGATTTTTGCATCAAAGTTTATCAGGGATATTGGTCTATGGTTTTTTTTTATTATTTTCTTTCCTGCTTTTGGTGTCAGGGTGATACTGGCTTCAAAGAATAATTTCACAAGGATTCCGTGTTTCTCAATCTTTTGGAATAGTTTCAGTAAGATTTGCAACAATCGTTCTTTGAATTTCTGGTAGAATTTAGCTATGAATTCATCTGGTTTTGGGATTTTTGTTGGCTTTTTTAAATTATTGATTCAATTTTGCTGCTTGTTATTGGTCTCTTCAGGATTTCTATTTATTTTTCTGATTGAGTCTAGGAGGATTGTATGTTTTCAGGAATTTATTCATTCCCTCTAGGTTTTCTATTTTGTGTGCATAAAGGTGTTCATAGTAGTCTCAAATGATCTTTTGTATTTCTGGGGAATATGTTGTAATGTCTCCAGTTTCATTTCAAATTGAGCTTAGATGGATCTATCTTCTCTCTTCATTTTTGGTCAGTCTTACTAATGGTCTCACAATTTTGCTAATCTTTTCAAAGAACTAGCTTTTTGTTTCATTTATATTTGGTATTTTCTTTGTTTCAACTTTATTTAGTTGTCTGATATTTGTTATTTCTTTTCTTCTGCTGTCTTTGGGTTTAGTTTGTTCCTGTTTCTATGGTTCCTTGAGGTGGTACATTATGTTGTCAATTTGTGCTTTTTCAGACTTTTTGATATAGGCATTTAACTATTAACTTTCCTTTTTGCATAGCTTTTTCTGTATTCCAGAGGTTTTGATAACTTGTGTCACTATTATCATTCATTTTAAAAAATTTATATTTCCATCTTGATTTCCTTGCTAACCCAGAAATCATTCCAAAGTAGATTATTTATTTTCCATGTATTTGCATAATTTTGAGGGTTCCCTTTTATGTTTATTTCTAGTTTTAATCCACTGTGTTCTGAGGAGATATTTAATATGGTTTCAGTTTTCTTAAATGTATTGAGACTTGTGTTTTTGTCCTATCATATAGTCTATCTTGGAGAATGTTCCATGTGCTGATGAGAAGAACGTATATTCTGCAGTTGTTGGGTAGAATGTTCTGTAAATAGCTGTTAAGTCTGTTTATTCTAGAGTGTAGTTTAAGTCCATTGTTTCTTTGATGACATTCTGTCTGATTGTTATTGTTCTTCTGGATCTAGCCACGAGTAGGGCTGCCACGACCCAGCTGGTGCTATGGAATATGCAAGGGATCTGGTGATGTGACCTGTTCTCAAATCTCCCAGCAGTGGGTACCAGCATGAGCTCTGATGGGGATAATAGGAGAGTGATACAGACTCTGTGTATTTTCTTAGTTATAGGTAGCCTTAGTGTGCTGGCTTTCTCAAAAGCTGATTATAATAATGGTGAACTGGCCAAGTAGACAGACTCAGAACCTTCTACTTAGCCAGGGTGTTAGAGGCAATGGTGATATCTGAGTTCACACCCTGGTTTTCTCCTTTCTGGGAGCAGTGTTATTCTACCTAGTGATGCTGTAACAGACTGAGTCAGTTTGACCCCAGCCAGAAGGTGGCGCGTGCAAAAGAGCACCATCTGCAGTAGTAGCAGTAGGATTTGAGCGTGTTTTTATGTTGCCCAGGGAAGGTATTCTGGTTTCTTGGGTGATGGACAGAGCCATAAAGCTCCCCAAAGTTTTTATCATTTGTGTTAATATACCAGGGCAGGTAGAGGGGCACAGTCAGGTGGGGGCTGAATCAGGCAGTTCTGTACTCTGACTCTCCATGTGTAGGGCAAGCTGCATGCCCTGTGGGGTTTGTGAAGCAGTTCTCAGGCTACTGGGGTAATGTATTGGAGCAGTCCTGTTTCAATCTTCTGCATATGGCTAGCCAGTTATCCCAGCACTATTTATTAAATGAGTCCTTTCCCCATTGCTTGATTTTGTCCACCTCCATGAATTCCAGATGATTGTAGGTATGTGGTATCATTTCTGAGCTCTCTATTCTATTCAATTGGTCTATGTGCCTGTTTTGTACCAGTATCCTTTTTTGGTTACTGTACCTTTGAAGTATAGTTTGAGGTCAGGTAAAGTGATGCCTTCAGCGCTATTCTTTTTGTGTAGAATTGCTTTAGCTATTCAGGCTATTTTTTGTTGTTGTTGTTCCATATGAATTTTGAAATAGTTTTTACTAATTCTCTGAAGAATGTCATTGATAGTTTGATAGGAATCACTTTAAATCTCTAAATTGCTTTGGGTAGTATGCCCATCCTAACAATATTGATTCTTCCTTAAATGCTTTTCCATTTGATTGTGTTATCTCTGATTTCTTTGAGCAGCGTTTTGTAATTCTTTTGGTAGAGATCTTTCACCTCCATGGTTAGCAGTACTTTTAGGTATTTTATTCTTTTTATGGCCATCGTGAATGGGATTGCATTCTTGATTTGGCTCTCAGCTTAGATGTTGTTGGGGTATAGGAGTCTTACTGATTTTTGCATATTGTTTGGTATGATGAAACTTTGTTCAAGTTGTTTATCAGATCAAGTAGGTTTTGGGCAGAGACTATGGGATTTCTATGTATAGAATTACATGCTCTGAAAACAGGAATAGTTTGACTTCCTCTATTCCTTTTTGGATGCCTTTTATTTTATTTCAATTGCCTGATCGCTCTGGCCAGGACTTCCAGTACTCTGTTGAATAAAAGTGGTGAGAGAGGGCATCCTTATCTTCTGGAATTCCAGGGGAATGACTCCAGCTTTTGCTCATTCAGTACAATGTTGACTATGGGTTTGTCATAGACAGCTCTTATTATTTTGAAGCATATTTGTGCAATGTCTTGTTTGTTGAGGGTTTTAAAAAATGTCTATAGTTTGTAGAGTTAGAGATCTACCTTCTACTATCTTGCCACATGGTTAACATGATAGAAACTTTAATAAAGGTGGTTGTGGCCAAAAATACAGGGCTTTATTTCCTCCAGCCTCCAGTTATGTGTTATGCTACTTTCCCAGGATAGGGTGCTTGCATTTCTCATCACTCCCAAGCTGTGTTGCAGGAGCTAAATTCCAGGAAGGCATGGCCAAAGGGTCATCAGCTGTGGCAGGTAAATACAAGACATGTGATTATTCTCATTCCAGCTTGCTTGCTTGTAGATGAAATGTCAACAAGTACGCCAGGAAGGCCAGAGCTTGTGATATATGCAGGAGGAAGTTAAGGGGGCAGGTCCCCAGAGAACCTCTGACCAGCCTGCACACTTGGAGGAAGGAGTGGAGCCATGGGAAGTTCACGCTGTTTGCAGCCGGGAGAAGCCTGGCCTATTCAGTTCCTGTGTGCGTGGCCTGCAATCAATCTGTGAGATGGGGGCCTGTTAGCACGAACCCCTCTTGCTTTGCTGAGAGTTTTTATTTTTCCTTTTTTTCCTTTTCATCCAATAAATTCCCCTAACCTTTCAATGTGTCTGTGTGTCTTTTTCTGGTTGTGTGACAAGAACTTGCTTTTAGCTGAACTAAAGATCAAAGTTCTGCAACATTTTGGTGCCCAAACATTGGGACATGAGAAAGCGTGAGTAACACGCAAACCAAAAATCTTTTTCCCTGTCACTTTTAAGCCTTTGTGGTCTCAGATTTCTTCTGAGGGTAGAGGAAATTATGCCGCCTACCCCACCCTGTTACTCCCAGGGGTCAAGAATGTTGTTGGCCTTTTTCTTATTTTGGGGGGAAGAATAATTGGTTCTTCCCCCAGGCTCAACCCTGCACTTTAAACTTTTTTTTCCTTTTCTCTACCCTGTCAGGAGTTAACACAGTCCTGAATTTTAAGCTTTTTTTTTTCTCTTTTCTCTACCAGGTCAGGAGTTAACTTTTAAGGGATGCTTTTTTTCTTTTTAAAAGATGTTTTACTAGCCCAGGAATAATAAGGATCATTGCTAATAGTCTTTGTAAAGTTTTAATTATGAAAAAGGATTTGTGAGGTTGGTGTTAAGCTGTAGCCAATCTGGTGTACTTTGCGTGTCTTTCTGGATGGTCAGTAGCAAACTTTGCTGCAGGTCTCCATCTTGTTTTACCTCCTTTGAAGCATGACCTGTAACCACGTGGCCATGCTTTGTTTAGCCTCCTCCACTGCGCGCTCTTTAAGAAAATCCTTTTAAGTTTTGTTGGTGAGGGGATTATTTTTCAAATTTGCTACATTTATTACAAAAATATTGTCCAAAATTTTTAACAAACAATCACAAAACACAAAGAGACAGGTAACTTTTACACAAACACAGAATTTTTAAAGACAGGTAACAAGACCACTTGAAAGAGAGTCCAGATGTTGCAATTAACAAAAATTTCAAAGCAAAAAATATTTATGCATTCAGAGAACCAAGAGAAACCATGTTTTAGGAAGGTATGATGGCAATGCCTCCTGTAAACTAAAAATAAAATTCTAATACCCTTCACCGATCTGAATGGACCTCCTCTTAAGCCAGGGCTTTAAAATTTAACCTGAAAGACTGGTTCAGGCCATGATGAGAAGTGGGAATCTGACATGTCTCATTATACCTCTCCGGAATTTACAACAACACAGACCTTAGGTCTGTTAAGAAACATTTATAGTCTATTCTCTCTGAAGCCTGCTATCCAGAGGCTTCATCTGCATGATAAAACTTTGGTCTTCACAACCTCTTATCACAACCCAGACATTCTTTCTATTGATAGTTCTTTCAACCAATTGCTAATTGGAAAAATTTCAAATGTACCAATCAACTGGAAGCCCCCACTTCAAGTTGTCCTGCCTTTCTGGACCAAATCAATGTATTTATTAAATGTATTTGATTGAAGTTGCATGTGTCCCTAAAATGTATAAAACCAAACTGCACCCTGATAACCTTGGGCACATGGTCTCAGGATCTCCTGAGGGCTGTGTCATAGGCCATGGTCATTCATATTTGGCTCAGAAGAGATCTTTTCAAATATTTTACAGAGTTTGACACTCTTTGTTGACACTCCTCAAATAGAAAAAAATCAGTAAAGAAACAAAAATTTTTTAAAAATGAAATTTTGTAGGTGAAAGTACAATAATTGAAGTGATAAACTCACTGAAGTTATTCAACAATTGGTTTTAATACACAGAAGAAAGAATCTGTGAAATCAAAGATGGATTGATAAACATTATGTAATTCAAATACAAAGAGAAAAAAAGTGTGGGAAAACTGAACAGAATCTCACTATTGCAGAACACTGGTACATATATTAGCACACATCTAATGGAAATGTCAGGAGAGAAATTGTAGGGAAAGAAACAAAACACATTCAAGAAATAATTGCTGAAATCTTCCCATATTTTATGAAAAACAAATGTACACATAAAAACTCATTGAAATCCAGGTAGAATAAATACAAAGAGATTCATACCTAAAGGCATCTAATTAAAAATCCTGAAAGATTAAGACAAAATCTTGAAAGCAGCAAGAGAAAAAAAATTATCATACAAAGGAATCCCATGAAAGTAACAGCTGATTTTCCACTCAATGACAGTGGAGAATAGAAGACAGTAGGATAAAATCTACGAAGTTCTAAAAGAAAAAAGTCAATTTGGAATATTATATAAAGCAAAACTATATCTGAAAAGTAAAGGTAAAAAGAAATGACATAGGCAAAATTGGCAAAATAATAAACTTTACGTACCTTTACTCACCAGTCACCAGAAACGCCAAAAAATAAAATAAAAAGCTATCAAAAATTGTTGGAATCAACATTATAAGAACTCTGGTTAACAGTCAGAGGTTTACAACAGCCAAGCAAATGCTTAAACAGAAAAATATTACTGAAACACATTAGAGCTTTGTGGCAATTTAATATAATCTTACCCCAATCTTCTTACAGATATGGTGACAGTATAAAGATGACTGACTGTGTTTCTGGTATGGTTTCACACCAGAGGCAGGAGAGAGCTGTTCATAAAAAAGTCAAACTCTGTAAAACATTTGAAGAGATTTATTCTGAGCCAAATATGCATGAACGATGGTCTATGACACAGCCATCAGGAAATCCTGAGAGTATGGGCCTGAGTTGGTCAGGCTCCAGCTTGGTTTTATAAATTTTAGGGAGATAAAAGACATTGATAAATACATGTAAAATATACGTTAATTTAGTCCAGAAAGGTGAGACAACTGTAAGTGGAGGCTTCAAGGTCATAGACAGATTAAAAGATTTTCTAATTGGCAATTGGTTGAAATAGTTACTATCTAAAGACCTGGAATCAATAGCAACGAGTATATCTGGGTTAAGATAAAAGGTTGTGGAGACCAAGGGCTTATCATGCAGATGAAGCTTCTATGTTGCAGGCTTCAGAATTCTTATCAGACTAAGAAAAGTTCCAAGACATTTGTTAATTCTCTCCTGAATCAGGGAAAAGACCCGCAAAAGAACAGGGATTCTCTACATAATGTAGATTTTCCTCACAAGAGACAGCTTTGCATGCCCATCTTAAAATATGTCAAATAAATCTAATTTGGGGTAAAATACCTTAACTTCTTTCAAGCCCAGCTATGTGTCATGTGATGCCGTACTAGAGTCAAGCTGGAATTAGATGTCTTATCACTACAAAAAATGCCTGCTTTGTCAGTCTAAAGTTCTGTTTTAACGTTAATGCTGGACAGCTGTGCCTGAATTTCAAAAGGGAGGAGGAAATAATGAACCATGTGCAATCTACTCTTTCCATCATGGCCTGAACTAGCTTTACAGGTTAACTTTGGAATTCCCTTACCTGAGGGGAGGGTCCAACACCTGCTTAGAGGTCTTTAAATTTTATTTTTGGTTTATGGAGCAGATCATATTTGGTTTCTTGAAAATAGTGTTTGCCTGTTTTGATCTAACTGGAAGTTTCTTGGTGGACTAAAATGAGGAGTTTGCCTTTGTCTCATTTAACTCAGACTTTTTTTAAAAAAAATAATGTCTATGCAAAGGACACCACTTGGAAAAAATTACAGGTAATTTAAGAACCCACTGCCACCTTGGACAAAACAATAATTTTTGAAGCAAACAATACAAAAGTCAAATGCATCATGCTACCTGACTTCAAGCTATACTACAAGGCTACAGTAACCAAAACAGCATGCTACTGGTACCAAAACAGATATATAGACCAATGGAAAAGAACAGAGGCCTCAGAAATAACACCGCACATCTACAACCATCTTATCTTTGACAAATCTGACAAAAACAAGCAGTGGGGAAAAGATTCCCTATTTAATAAATGGTGTTGGGAAAACTGGCTAGCCATATGCAGAAAACTGAAACTGGACCCCTTCCTTATACCTTATACAAAAATTAACTCAAAATGGATTAAAGACTTAAAAGTAAGACCTGAAACCATAAAAACCCTATAAGAAAACCTAGGCAATACCATTCATGACACAGTCATGGACAAAGACTTCATGACTAAAACACTAAAAGCAATGGCAACAAAAGCCAAAATTGACAAATGGGATCTAATTAAACTAAAGAGCTTCTGCACATCAAAAGAAACTATCATCAGAGTGAACAGGCAACCTACAGAATGGGAGAAAATTTTTACAATCTATCCATCTGACAAAGGGCTAATATCCAGAATCTACAAGGAACCTAAAGAAATGTACAAGAAAAAAAAAACTCATCAAAAAGTGGGCAAAGGATATGAACAGACACTTTTCAAAACACGACATTTATGTGGCCAACAAACATATGAAAAAAAGCTCATCACTGGTCATTAGAGAAATGCAAGTCAAAACCACAATGAGATACCATCTCAGGCCAGTTACAATGGCAATCATTAAAAAGTCAGGAAACAACCGATGCTGGAAAGGGTGCAGAGAAATAGGAACACTTTTACACTGTTGGTGGGAGTGTAACTTAGTTCAATCATTGTGGATGACAGTGTGGCAATTCCTCAAAGATCCAGAACTGGAAATGCCATTTGACCCACCAATCCCATTACTGGGTATATACCCAAATGATTATAAATCATTCTACTATAAAGACACATGCACACGTATGTTTATTGCAGCACTATTCACAATAGCAAAGACTTGGAACCAACCCAAATGCCCATCAATGTTAGACTGGATAAAGAAAATGTGGCACATATACACTGTGGGATACTATGCAGCCATAAAAAAGGATGAGTTCATGTCCTTTGCAGGGACATGGATGAAGCTGGAAACCATCATTCTCAACAAACTAACACAGGAACAGAAAATCAAATACCACATATTCTCACTCATAAGTGGGAGTTGAACAATAAAAACATATGGGCACAGGGAGGGGAACATCTCACACTGGGGCCTGTTGGGGGGTGGGGGGCATGAGGAGGGATAGCATTAGGAGAAATACCAAATGTAGATGACAGTTTGATGGGTCCAGCAAACCACCATGGTACATTTATACTTATGTAACAAGCCTGCCTGTTCTGCACATGTATCCCAGAACTTGAAGTATCATTGATATACATATATATATATATATATATCAAAGCTATAGCAACCAAGACACCATGATATTGGCATAAAAACAGACCCACAGAGCAAAAGAAGAGAATAGAGAACACAGATATATACTACCCCAGCTGCAAAAAATCTCATCTTCGACACAGGTGCCAAGCACACACAATGGGAAAAGGACAGTTGTTTCAATAAATGTGTTGGAAAAATCGATTAACTATGCCAAAAAAAAAATTAGACTGCCATCTTTCACCACACACAAAAATAAAATAAAAATAAATTAGAAACTATAATCTACTACCTGAAACTAGGAAACTACTAGAAGAAAACATTGGGGAAACACTGTAGGAAATTGGTCTGGGCAAATTTTTTTGTGTGTAAGACCTGAAAGGCACAGGGTACCAAAGCAAAAATAGACAAATAAGATTACCTCAAGCTAAAAAGCTTTCACGCAACAAATGAAACAATCAAAAAAATGAAGACAATCCACAGAATTGAAGAAAACAGTTGCAAACCATTGATCTGACAAAGGATTAATAACCAGAATATATAAGTGGCTTAAACAGTTCAAGAGCAAAATAATAATAATAATTCAATTAAAAGATAAGCAAAAGGCCGTGTCTGGTGGCTCATGCCTGTAATCCCAGTACTTTGGGAGGCTGAGGCGGGTGGATAACCTGAGGTCAGGAGTTCAAGACCAGTCTGGCCAACATGGTGAAACCCCATCTCTACTGAAAATACAAAAATTAACTGGGCATGGTGGCAGGGGCCTGTAATCCCGGCTACTCAGGAGGCTAAGGCATGAGAATCTCTTGAACCCGGGTGACAAGAGCAAAACTTCATCTCAAAAAAAAAAAAAAGCAAAAGATCTGAATAGACTTTTCTCAGAAGTACATAAATGACAAACATGTGTATGAGAAATGCTAAAAATAACAAATCATCAGAGAAATGCAAATCAAAATCACAGTGAGACATCATCTCACTCCAGTTAAAATAGCTTTTATCAAAAACACAGGCAATAACTCACAAGAGTATTGAGAAAGGAAAACTCTTGTACATTGTTGCTGAGAATATAAATTAATACTGTGACTATGGAGAACATTATGGAGGTTTCTCAAAGAAGAAAAAATAGATCTACCACTAGGCATGGTGGTTGACACCTGTAATCCCAACACTTTGAGAGGCCAAGATAGGTGAATTGTTTGAGCCCAATGTCAAGATCAGCCTGGGCAATATGGTGAAACTCCATCTCCACAAAAAAATTAAAAAAATTAGCCCAGCATGGTGGCATGCACCTATAGTCCCAGCTACTAGGGAGGCTGAGGTGGGAGGATCACTGGAGCCCAGAAGGTAGAGGTCGCAGTGAGTCAAGATCACCCCAGTGTACTCCAACCCAGGTAACAGAGCAAGACACTGAAAAAAAAAAAGTGCTACCATATATTAAGCAATTCTACTACTGGGTATATATTCAAAAGAAAGGAAATCAGTACATCAAAGAGATGTCTGCATTTCCATGTTATTGCTGCATTATTTAGAATAGTTCAAAATATGGAATCAACATAAATGCTCACCAATGAATAAGTGGATAAAGACAATATGGCATATATGCATAACAAAATATTATTCAGCCATAAAAAGAATGAAATCCTGTCATTTTAAGGAACACAGATGGAACTGGAGATCACTATATTAAGTGAAATAAGTCAGGCACAGAAAGACAAATATCACATTTTCTCACTCATATGATGGAGCTAAAATAGTGAATCTCATGAAAATGAAGAGTAGATTAATGGTTATCAAAGGCGGAAATGAAAGAAACAAAGAAGATTTTATATTTATAATAAGTACATAAGCATATATTACCACTAAACTTCGCATTTCAAAACAGCAAAATAATAAATTATATATGTATTTTTCACTTCAATAAAAAAAGAAACAAAAATGTAAAAAGCATGGAATTGTAATAAAACACACATATGTCAATGAAACAGAATTGAGAAACCAATTATAAATTCACATATTTATAGCTAACTGATTTTCAAAAAAGGAGTCAAGAACATACATTAGGAAAATGCCACTCTTTTCAGTAAATAGTTTTAGACAAACTGGATATCGACATGTAGAAGAATAAATCTAAATTTCCATCTTTTACCATATATAATAAACAACTCAAAATGCATTAAAAACTTAGATGTAAGACACAAATTATAAAAGAATAAAACATAGGGGAAATGCCTTAGAACATTGTTCTAGGTACAGATTTTATGAGTAATACTTCAAAAGTGAAGGCATTAAGAAAAATAGAGAAATGAGATTATGTCAAACAAAAAAGCTCCTGAACAGCAAAGGAAACAATCAGCAGTGGAAAGAGACAACCTGAAGAATAGGAGAAAATATTTGCAAACTATTCATTCACAAGGCGTTAATGTCCAGAATATATAAGGAACTCAAACAACTGAACAGAAAAAAAAATCTATTACAAAATTTTGGCAAATAGACATTTTTCAAAGAATAAATACAAATGACCAAGTACATAAAAAAATTTTCAACACTGACTTTCAGTTTCAAAATGGCAGCATAGCAGAAAGCTGGCCTCACCACCCCCATAGAAAACTAAAAACAAACATATAGTGCCAAGATTCTCTCCAGCAATAGCCCAGACCTCACACAGGAAGATGTGACAGTTCCCAGGACGGCAGGAAAGTCAAGAAACCTTAGAGCATATGTAAGAGATTCAGACTTCCACATCTGTGATGACCGTTCCTCCAATCTTCCCACCACCAAACACATAAAAATCTTCCTTAGGACTAATGGTCTCTACACTGGAAAAAGTGGGATCAAGAGGGGGCACCACCATCCTGACGATCTCAGCTTCACTGACAAAAAAACACATTCCTGCCTCAACCCACGGGAAGCATTGGGAGTGCCTGAAGGGAGAAATATTCCTGAAGACAGTGAGAGACAAATGGAGAAGGAAGGACAACCATTCCTAGCCCTGAAAACTCTGCTTTGTAACTCACCCAAAGGAGACATCAATTCAGAGCAACTGTTCAGTATCACCACATTTTAGAAGTTTTATCCCATAGTTCCCATGGGTACAAACCCCTAATTAGCTTTCCCACACTACTGGGATATTTCTCCTGTTACATCCCTCATTCTGGATGAAAGACATTCTGTTTACTAGAACTGCAGCAAACCTGGGCTTAAGGCTCCATCTAGTGCCCTAATGAAGGCATCAACCTAGCAGAAAAAAAAAAAAAAAGAAAAGTAAAGAAAGGAAAAGAAAAGAAGAAAAATCAATAGGCAAATTATAAAAAATCTCTAAGCAAACATATCTAACAACAACAACAAAAACAAGCCAAGCAGAGAAAACTGGAATAAATAATTAATATTTCAATGCAAAGAAATAGACATACTGCCACACAAACAACAGCAAAGGGAATTATGACATTCTCATATGTACAAAGCAAGAAACTAGTGACTGACCCTAATGAGATGGTGATTTGTTAACTCTCTAAGAATTTAAAATAGCAATTTAAAGAAATAGTGTTTTCCAAGATAACATAAAAAATCAATCAGGAATTAATCATAGAAACTTTGCAAATGAAATAATAAGACAATATCAAGCATAAACTGTGGAACTGAGATATACATTCACTTAACTGAAAAATTTATTAGAGGCCTTCAACAGCAGAATAGATCAAACATAGAAAATAATCAGGGAGATCAAAGACAGGCTATTTGAAAATACAGTCAGGAGAAAAATAAAAATAAATGAAGATAAAGTAAAATATAGAAAAATATCTCAAAAAACCAGCTCTAAGAATTATTGGTGTTCAAAGGGGAGCTAAGCAAGAGCAAGGTACAAAGCTTATCAGAAGAAATAATAGCATAAAATTTTCCAAAACTTAAGAAAGAGATAAATATCTAGGTACGGGAAGGTCAGAGAACACCAAAATAATTAAAGTCAAATAAGAGTACTCCAAGGCATATAATAATCAAATTCTCAAATGTCAAGCACAAAGAGAGGATCCTATAAGCATCAATATAAAATAAGAAAATAACATATAAAAGAGCTTCGATTCATCTAACAGACTTAACAAAAACCATTCAGGCCAGAAGGGTGTATGATGACATTTTCAAACTGCAACAAACAAACAAACAAAACCACTGTCATCCAACAATATTGTACCCAGGAAAGCTATTCTTCTTTTTTTTCTTTCTTTTCTTTTCTTTTTTTTTTTCTGAGATGGAGTCTCGCTCTGGTGAGCAGGCTGGAGTGCAGTGGCGCGATCTCAGCTCACTGCAACCTCTGCCTCCCGGATTCAAGCAATTCCCTGCCTCAGCCTCCCGAGTAGCTGGGATTACAGGCCTCCACCATCACGCCCAGCTAATTTTTATATTTTTAGTAGAGATGGGGTTTCACCATCTTGGCCAGGCTGGTCTTGAATTCCTGACCTCGTGATCTACCCATCTTGGCCTCCCAAAATGCTGGGATTACAGATGTGAGCCACAGCGCCCAGCCAGCTAGTCTTCAAATATGAAGAAGAGATAAAGTATTTCCCAGATAAAAGCTGAGATAATTCACCACCACCTGTCATGTATTATAAGAAATGCTAAAAGGAGTTTTTCATCCTGAAAGAAAAAGATACTAATGTGCAAAAACAAAACATTTGAAAGTATAAAACCCACTGGCAATTCTAAGTATACGGATAAACCCAGACTACTCTAATACTGTAATTTTGGTGTGTGATCCACTCATAACTTTATTATAAAGCCCAAAGGACAAATTTATCAAAAACAATAATAACCTCAGCAACCTGTTAAGAGACAGGCAATATAAAAATATGAAAATTGAGACAACTTAAGTCTAAATGTGAAAAATGGAATTAAAGTGTAGAGTTGTTTTTTTGTTGTTGTTTTCTTGGTTTGTTTCTTTTTTTTATTTGTGAGCTAAGACAAGTTGTCATCTTTTAAAAATAAAAGAATGAAAGAAAGAGAAATAAAGCAACAAAATGGCAGTAGTAAGTCCTTACTTATCAATACTGTCACTGAATGTAAATTGAATCAATTTTTCAATTAAAAGGCACAAAGTGGCTGAATGGATAAATCAGACCCAATATCCACCTCATCTATAAAGGCACATAGACCGAAAGTGATGGAGTGTTAAAAGATATTCTATGCAACTAGAAACTTAAAAAGAGCAGGAGTAGCTACACTTATTTTAGACAAAATAGGATACAAATCCGAGACTGTAAAAAGAGACAAAGAAGGTCACCACATAATAAAGAAGCCAATTCAGTGAGAGGATATAACAATTGTAAATATCTATACACTTAAGCATATAAAGCAAACGTTAATAGATTTAAAGGGAAAGATAGTCTGCAATACAATAATGGCAGGGGACATCAACAACTCAATCTCAGGAATGGACAAATTATCCAGACAGAAAGTTAACAAAGAAACATCAGTTAAACTACACACTAAACCAAATAGACATAGATAGTTTCAGAACATTTCACCTCGCTGCTGCATTACACACATTGTTTTCATCAGCACATGGAACATTCTCTAAAATAGACCATATCTTAGGCCACAAAACAAGTCTCGACAAATTCAAAAAAGTAGAAATTAAATCAAGTGTATTTTCTGATCATAGTGGAAGAAAACTAGAAATCAATAATGAGGAAACTCAGAAATACATAAACACATGAAAATTAAACAACATGCTCTTTATGAATGAGCCAGTAAAAAAAAAAAAAATGAAGAAGGAAATTTAAGAAAATCTTTTGAAAGAAATGAAAAAAAAAAAGCCTACCACATACCAAAATCTATGGGATATGGAAAAAGCAGTACGAAGAGGGAAGATTATGGCAATAAATGCTTATATACAAAAGTGGAAGGACTTCAAATAAACAACCAAATGATGCACCTCAAGGAAGTAGAAAAGTAAGAACAAACTCAAAATTAATAGAAAAAAAGATAATAAATATTAGAGCAGAAATAAAATTTTGACAAAAAATACAGATCAATGATATGAAAAGTTGCTTTCTAAGGATAAAATCTATGAACCTTTAGCTAGACTTAGAAAAAAGAGGGAAGACCCTACCTAACATATAAAAATCACCAATAAAAAAGAAGCTATGACATTTGGGAGCGCAGAAATACAAAGAAACTTTAGAGACAATTACAAACAATTATATGCCAACAAATTGAAAATCCTAGAAGGAATGGATAAATTCCTGGACTCCTATAGCCTACCAAGATTGAACCATGAAAACCTCAACAAACCAATAATGAGTAATGGGGTTGATGCCATAATAAAGATTCTCCCATCAAAAATGTTTAAAGATCCAAGAATTGACAGCTATACTCTTACATTCTCCAAAACTTTTGAAGAAGAAATAGTCACAATTCTACTCTAGCTCATCAAAAATTTGAAGAAGGAAAAGGTCTAAACTCATTCCAAAAGGCTACCATTATCTTGATACAATAACCAGAGAAAGACATAAGAGATGAACATATGCATAATTCCTCAACAAAATACTAGCAAACCAAATTCAACAAATTAAAAAGATAATTTGCCAAGATCCAGTAGGATTCATCCTAGTGACTTCAGGATGATTCAACACATGCAAATTAGTAAATGGGATATATTATGTTAATAGAACTAAAGAAAAAAACCCTATGATTATTTCAATACATGCTCAAAAATTATTCAATGAAATTCAGCATTCTATTATGATTAAAACCCTCAATGAACTAAGTCTTAAAAAAAAAAAAAAACCTCAAAATAACAAGAATCAGATATGGCAAACCCACACCCAACATCATACAAAACAGAAAAAAATTGAAAGAGATTTTTCTAAGATCTTGAACAAGTCAAATATGCCCACTTCTCTCACTTTCATTCAACATTATAACTGAAAATTCAGGTTAGAGCAATAAGGCAAGATAAAGAAAGACATTCAAATTGGAAAGAAAGAAGCCAAATTAGTCTTGTTTGCAGATGCCAGGATCCTAACACTTGGAAAAACCTGTAGACTGCAACAAAATAACTTTTTTTTCTTTTTTTCTTTTCTTTTTTTTTTTTTTTTTTGGAGAAAGGGTCTCTGTCACCCAGGCTGGAGTCCAGTGGCACAATCTTGGCTCACTGCAACATACACATCCTGGGTTCAAGTGATTCTCATGCCTCAGCTTTCCAGGTGTAGCTGGGACTACAGGCATGTGCCACCATGCCCAGTTAATTTTTGTATTTTTAGTAGAGACGGAGTTTCACCATTATGGCCAGACTGTTCTCAAACTTCTGGCCTCAAGTGATCACCCATCTCAGCCTCCCAAAGTGCTAGGATTACAAGCGTGAGCCACCATGCACGGCCTACCAAAATAACTATTAAAGTAGATAAATAAAATCAATAAAATTAAAGAATACAAAAGTATGCAAAATCAGTAGCATTTATATGAGCCAAGAGCAAAAAATCTGAAAAAAATATCAAGAAAGCAATCCAATTTCCAACAGCTACAAGAAATATAAAATGTCTAGGCATCCATTTAACCAAAGAAGTAAAATATGTGTACCAGGAATACTATACAACACTAATGAAAGAAATTTAAAATGATATAAAAACATAAAAAGACACTTCATATTTTGAAATTGAAGAATTCATATTGTTAAAATTATAATTTTATTTAAAGCAATTTGCAGATCTAATGCAATCTCTATCAAAATACTAATGACATTCTTCATAGAAATAGAAAAAATATTAAAATTTATGTGGTACCACAAAATATATAGTCCCACAAAAATAATCTGAATTATTTTCTCTTTCTTATAGATGAGGAAATTGAGAATGTACCTCAGAGAGATTAAATAGTTTGCCAAGGTTATAAAGCAAGAAAGTGGCTGAGCTGAGGCTCAAAGAGAGTTCATGCTCTCAGGTACCACACCATCCTGTTTCCTATGTATATCACATAGATACATAATCTACATGACATTCTTCACAGAAATAGACAAAAAATCATAAAATTTATATGGGACCACAAAAGACCCTGATAGCCAAAGCAATCATGAGCAAAAAGAACAAAGCTGGAGACATCATGCTACCTGACTTCAAAACACACTTCAAAGCTATAATAACCAAATCAGCATAGTACTCACATAAAAACAGACACACAGACCAATAAAACTGAATAAAGGACACACATATAAATCCACGTATTTACAGCCAACTCATTTTTGATAAACGTGCCACAAACATACAATAGTGAAAGAACAGGCTCTTCAATAAATGGTTCTGGGAAAATTGGATATTCATATGCAAAATATGAAACTAGATCCCTATCTCTCATCATACACAAAAATCAAATTAATATGGATTAATGACTTGCATGTAAGACCTGAAACTATGAAACTACTAGAAGGAAACATTAGGAAAACAATATAGGACATTGCTCTGGGCAAAATTTTTTACTATAAGATTTCAAAACCTCAGGCAAGCAAAGCTAAAATAGACAAAGGGGATCACATAAAGCTAAAAAAGAAACTGTACAACAAAAGAAATAATCAATAAAGTGAAAAGAGGACCAAGAGAAGAGGAGAAAATATTTGCAAACTATTCATCTGACAACGGATTAATAATCAGAGCATATAAGGAGCTTAAACAACTCAACAGCAAAAATTAAAACCCAAATAATTGGATTAAAAATGAACAAAGGGGCTGGGTGTGGTGGCTCACTCCTGTAATCTCAGCACTTTGGGAGGCCTAGGCAGGTGGATCATGAGGTCAGGAGATAGAGACAATCCAGGCCAACACGATGAAACCCCATCTCTACTAAAAATACAAAACATTAGCTGGGCGTGGTGGCACGCACCTGTAGTCCCAGCTCCTCGGGAGTCTGAGGCAGGATAATCGCTTGAACCCTGGAGGAGGAGGTTGCAGTGAGCCAAGATCGCACCAGCCTGGGCAATAGAGCTAGACTCCATCTCAAAAAAAAAACAAAAAAAAAAACGGAACAAAGGATCTGAATATACATTTCTCAAAAGAAGACACACGAATAGCCAATAAGTACATGAAACAATGCTCAACATCAGTAATCATCATATAAATGTTAACCAAAATCACAGTCAGTGAGCTGGCATCTCATCCCAGTTAAAATGCCTGTTGTCAAAACCACAGGCAATTAAAGATGGTGGCAAGGGTGTGAAGAAAGAGGAACACTTACACCCTGTTGGTGAAAATATAAAATAGCATATCCACTATGGAAAACCATATGGAGCTTCCCCCCAAAATAACTAAAAATAGAACTACCACATGATCCAGCAATTCCACCACTGGGTGTATATACAAGAGAAAAAAATCAATATAGAAAATAGATATATGCATTTCCATGTTTATTGCAGCACAATAGCCAAAATATAGAATCAACCTAAATGTCCAGAATGGAGAACAAAAATGGGATAGATATACACAGTGAAATATTATTCAGTCATGAAAAGAATGAATTTTTGTCATTTGAAGGAACATAGATGGAACTAGAGGTCATTACGTTAAGTGACATAAGTCAGGCACAGAAAGACAAATACTGCATGTTCTCACTCATGTGGGAGCTAAAAAAGTGAATCTCACAGAGTAGATTGTGGTTATCAGAGACTGAGAAAGGAAAGGAATGGGACAACAAAAAGAGGTTGATTAATGGGCACAATTATATAGTTTGATAGAAAAAATAATACGTAGTGTTTGATAAATCAGTAAGGTAATTATAGTTTATAATAATCTATTGTATATTTCAAAAATAGCTAGAAAATAATAATTTAAATGTTTCTCGCATAAATAAAAGACAAATATTTAAGTTGATGAATATTCTAATTACATTGCTCGCTATAAATTATATAAATATTAAATTATTATATATGTTGAAAATATTCACATCTACTATGTAACAATAATAAATGAAATTGTTTTAAAAATGCTCAACATCACTAATCATCATGAAAATACAATTCAAAACCATGATGAGATATTTCACTAGAGTTAAAATGCCTATTTTCAATCAGAGAAAAGATAACATGCTGGTGATTATGTGGAGAAAATGGATCTTTTATACATTGTTGTTATAATCAGAAATTAGTATAGCCATTATGGAAAACAGTATGAAGGTATCTCAAAACTGTAAAAATACAACTACCATATAATCCAGCAATTCCACTAGTGGATGTTTATCTAGAGAAAAGGTAATCAGTATATCAAAAAGATATGTGCACTCTCATGTTTATTGCAGCATTATTCACAATAGCCAAGATATAAAATTATCTTCAATATTAATCAACAGATAAATAGATAAAATAAAGGTAGTACACATACACAATCCATTTTTGTTCAGGGTTAAAAAAGAATAAAATGCTGTCATTCACAGAAACATAGATGAGCCTTGAGTATACTATGTTAAGTGAAATAAGTCAGGTACATAAAGATAAATACCACATATCGTTCCTCATATGCGGGAGCTAATAAACAAGTTGAGAGAAAGTACAATTTTACTCTCATAGAGAGTATAAAATTGTGGTTGTTACAGGCTAGGAAGGGGAAGTGGAGGGGAGGATAGGGAATATTTAGTTAACAGATAGAAAATTACAGCTACATGGAAGGAATAAGTTTTAATGTTAGGTGGCACTGCAGAGTGACAACAGTTAATTATAATTAATTGTAGTTTTTCGAAGAGCTAAAAAATTATTTTGAATGTTTACAGCACAGATAAATGATAAATGTTGTGGGTGATAGATATACTAATTATCCTGATTCGGTTATTCCACATTGTATATATCTATTAAATTATCACTCTATATCCCATAAATACAACCAATTATTAGGTGCCAATTATAGAAAAAGACAAAAAGAGAAAAATCCTTAAATTAGTAATCTGATTATATACCTTAAGCAATTAGAAAAAAAACAAACAAACCAAACCCAACATTAACAGAAGTAAGAAAATAATAAAGATTAGAATGTAGATAAATAAAATGGAGAATAGAAAAACAATAGAAAAAATCAATGAAACTAAGAGCTCTTCAAAAGCGTCAGCAAAGTTGATAAACCTTTAGGAAAGTGACTTACAAAAAGAGAGTAGACTCAAACGTCTAAAATGAGATATGAAACTAAGGACTGAAAATAGATAGTGGTGACAGCTGCTCAGCATTGTGAGTGTTAATAATGCCTCTCCATTTCACAGTTAAAAATGATTAAAATGGCAACTTTTATGTTATATGTATTTTATCACAATGAAAATAAATCTATTAAATACTTATCTATTCTATAATGTGAATGAAGCTTTTAACCATTATGGTAAATAAAAGGAGTCAGAAACAAAGTTTCATGTATTGTATGCTTTTGTTTTTATGAAAAGTCCAGAATAGACAAATCTATAAGGACAGCACACAGGGGAAATATGCATATTGAGATTGATTTCTAACATGTGTGGAGTTTCTTTATGGAGTGATGGTAATGTTTTGGGATCTGATAATGGGGCTGTTTCCACAACATTTTGAGTATACTAAAAAACTACTAAATTTTAATTTTAAAATGGTACTTTTTGCTGCATACATTTTATTTCAATTTAAAATTTTATTTAAAAAAGCTATGCCTTTATTTCTGCACTAAGTTAATATCAATCACTTCTAATTTTCCTCTTATTGCTTTATTCATTATTCATATTCAGTATGAAATAAAGATGTGAAAATAGCTTTCAAAACAATTATTATTAGGAATGAAATAACACTATAGAGAAAAATCAGTGAATTGTTTTTAAATTATACCTTAGGAAAATGAAAAGCATCATTAGTACATAAATTCCATAATATAGAAACAAATTATTTACTATTATTCAGCACAGAAATATTAAAATAAAAAGTGGTAACATATAGGAATTGATCTTAGAGACAGAGCACTAAAGACTTTTACCCCAGCAAGTGGCAGCTCAACCTTTAATGTATTTCAGAAAAAATTATAGATAGGAAAATATTAGGAGGAAAATCACCTGGAAATGTTCTACCTTTTATTTATTTATTTATTTATGAGACAGTTTCACTCTTGTCGCCCAGGCTGGAGTGCAGTGGCACAATCTAGGCTCACTGCAACCTCCACCTCCTGGGTTCAAGCGATTCTCCTGCCTCAGCCTCCCGAGTAGCTGGGATTACAGGCGCCCACAACCATGCCTAGCTAATTCTTGTATTTTTAGTAGAGTCGGGGTATCACAATGTTGGCCAGGCTGGTCTTGAACTCCTGATCTCAGATGATCTACCCATGTTGGCCTCCCAAAGTGCTAGGATTACAGACATAAGCCACTACACCCAGCCATGTTCTACTTATATAATGAGTCTATTATAGTAGTAATTTTTAAATGCCATAATATTTTCAGTCACTTTTTAAAAAATTAATCTTCGAAGAGTTATTTTCGAACACCATTTAAACTTAAACATTGCTAGGAGAGTTAGAAGGAAAAAGAAGAAACACTACTCTAGAAAAAAATGTTTTAAATGCAGCAAAAATAAGTTTTACTTATTCTAAATAGATCTCTAATTACCTCGAGGTAATCTTTAAGAAGAAATAGGGCTGGGCGCCGTGGTTCATGCCTATAATCCCAGCACTTCGGGAGGCCGAGGCGGGTGGATCACCTGAGGTCAGGAGTTCGAGACCAGCCTAACCAATATGGTGAAACCCCGTTTCTACTAAAAATATAAAAATTAGCAGGGCGTGGTGGTGTGCACCTGTAGTCCCAACTACACGGAAGGCTGAGACAGGAGAATTGCTTGAAGCCGGAGCCAGCCTGGGCTACAGAGTAAGACTCCGTTTCAAATAAAAAAAGAAGAAATAACCTCCCCAGTGAGCCATACGTCAGCCACACACAACAGGTATGGTTTAAATTATCTCATAAATAGTGGAAATAAATTACATATGAAAAAATTACTAAATATATGTCTAATAAATTAGAATTTATCTTGCTTTTATGTTGCTTCTCTACTCTTGTAAAAATAAAACATGGTTTGTGAAAAGAGGGTACAACTCACTAATTTTCATTGTGAGAAAACAAGAAAAGACTAGATTTCACTCCAAAATTATTCTTCTCCTTGTTCTCACCTGTTCATTAAAAATACATTATGTCATTTCCAAGAGAAAGTAGAAAGCAAACTTTTATTTAAAGATATCCTGTTAAAGCCTACCCATCTTTTATTTTTTGGTTTATTTGAACTTTATATATACCTCTGTGTGTTCAAAAGTAGAATTATGGTATTTAAAAAAATGCATAAAATAAAACAAAAAACAAAAATAATAATATGTAGCAGTTAAATAATAAACTCAGATAAAATCAAGGGTAAGGATGGAAAGTAAACCCATTAATCAGACATTTTAAAACATTTCATCATTAATGTTCATAAATGCATTAGAAATGAACCTCATATCTTGTTATAAAGTTTATAATAGTAAATATAAAATTAGAAAAACAATTTGATATGTTATACACAACATCTATTAGATGAAAACAAAACAATTTATTATTCCTATTTACAGTTATTCCTATTTACAGGAGACTCAGGGACAAAGGGGTTAAGAAATCAACCAAAGTCATACATAAACTTCAAGGAAGAAACAATATTTTAATCTGTCAGCCTGGCACCCAAACCTAGAGTTCTTGAAGAACACAGACTGCAATGTCAAAAATAATAATAGGAGACAGGTCAAGAAAGATGGCAGAATAGAACGTTCCATCAATTGTCCCCCTGGCAAGGGCAACAATTTAACAACTGTCTACACAAAAAAGGACTTTCAGAAGAACCAAATATTAGGTGAGCACTCAGAGTACCTGGTTTGAAGTTCATATCACTGAAAAAAGCACTGAAGAAGTAGAGAAAACAGTCTTGATTTGTCAATGCCACTCCTTCCCAATTTTCATGCAGCATGCAAAGAGAATCTGTGCACGTGGGAAATTAGAGTGCAGCAACTGAGAGATAGTACGTCGAACTTAGTGCTGCCCTGTTATAGCAGAAAACAAAACCGGACTGAACTCAGCTGTCACCCACCCACGGAGGGAGTATTTAAAGCAGCCCCAGCCAGGGAGGAGTCACCCATCCCAGCAGTCGAAACTGGAGTTCCTGCAAGCCTTGCCACCTCGAGCTAGAGTGCTCCTGGGCCCTAAATAAATTTGAAAGGCAGTTCAGGCCACAAGGATTACTACTCCTAGAAGAGTCCTAGTGCTGAAATGGGCCCAGAGCCAGTAAACTGGGGTGGGAAGTGGGGCACATGACCTACTGAGACACAAGCCAGTGTGGCTAGAGGAGTGCAGGTTTCATCACCCCAATAACACCAGGCTGAATAGCTCATGGCTTCAAAAAGACCCCTTTCTTCCTCTCGAGGGGAGGAGAGGAAAGTGTAACAATGACATTTGTCTAGCATCTTGGATACCAGCTCAGCCACAGTAGGATAAGGCACCAGTCAGAGTTACAAGGATGCTATTTCAGGCCCTAGCGCTCAGATGACATTTCTAGACACACATTGGGCCAGATGGGAACCCCTTAACTTGAAGGGAAGGAGTCAGTCTTGTCAGAATGTATTATCTTCTATCTGAAGAGCCGTTAGTCCCTGAATAACCAGTGGCAATACTCAGGTAGTACATAGTAGGCCTCAGGTGACACTTTGAAACTTTCTGGCTTCAGGTGGGAATTAGCATATTCCCAGCTGTCATGGCTATGAAGAGAGATTCCTTCTGCTTGAGAAAAGAAGAGGGAAAAGTAAAGGGGACTTTGTCTTGCACTTTAGGTACCAGCTCTGCCACAGTGGGTGGGTTCTCGGGGTCCCCAATTTCAGGCTTTGCCACTTGAGTGGAATTTCTGGACATGCCCTGGGTGAGAAGGGATTTCACCACACAGAAGGGTAAGTTCCAAGGCTTGTATAATTCATCATGAGCTTATAGAAGAGACCTTGGGCCTTAAATGGACGTTGCTGGTAGCCTGGTAATACTCCCTGTGTGCCTGTGGTGGAGGTGGCCATTGGGTGAGGTTCTTCTGCCCTTGAAAAGGTGAGAAAAGAATGGAAAAAAAACTGTCTTGTGATTTCAGTGCCAGCTCAGCTGCAGTACTATAAAACACTATGTCAAATTCTAAGGGTTTTGTTTGTTTGTTTGTTTGTTTGATTATAGTCCCTGGACCAAGACAGCACCTCTGGACCCTTCAGGCCAGGGGAAACTTGCCGCTCTGAAGGGAATGACACAGTCCTGACTGGCTTCACCATCTGTGGATTGCAGAACACCAGTGCCTCGAGCAAATATAGGCAGTAGCCAGGAGTGGTTGCAGCAGGCCATGGGTGAGACCCAGCACTGTGCTGTCTTCAGATCTGATGTAGTGCCGCCCTAGTGGCAGTAGCCATAGGGGTGCTTGTGTCACTCCACTGCCAACTCCAGGCAGCTAAGAACACAGAGAGAGAGAGACTCCATTTGTTTGAGAGAAAGTAACAGAAAAAGAATGAGAATCTCTGTCTGATAATCCAAATAATTATTCCAGATCTTGTCTAAGACCATCAGCACAGCACCTTTACAAGCCTGCCAGAACCATAGCATTTTCCAGTTTGGAGAGGAACATAACTAACCAGAAGAAGCTGAAAAACATAACACGAGAACTTCACAATGCAATCACAAGTATCAGTAGCAGAATAGAACAAGCAGGGAAAAGACTCTCAGAGCTTGAAAACTATTTGAAATGAGACAGGCATACAAAAATAGAGAAAAACAAATAAAAAGGAATGAGCAAAACCTCTGAGAAATATGGGATTATGTAAAGAGATTGAACCTATGACTGATTGGGGTACCTGAAAGAGATGGGGAGAATGGAACCAAGTTAGAAAACATACTTCAGGCTATCATCCAGGAAAACTTCCTCAACCTAGAAAAGTGGGCCAACATTCAAATTCAGAAACTGCAGAGAACACCAGTAATATACTAAACAAGAAGATCAACCCCAAAACACGTAATAATCAGATTATCCAAGGTCAAAATGAAAGAAAAAATGTTAAGGGCAACCAGAGAGAAAGGTCAGGTCATCTACAAAGGGAATTCCATCAGACTAACAGTGGACCTCTCAGCAGAAACCCTACAGGCCAGAAGAAACTGGGGGCCAATATTTGACATTATTAAAGAAATGAATTTCCAACCCTTAATTTCATATCTGGCCAAACTAAACTTCAAAAGCGAATGAGAAATAAGACCCTTTTCAGACAAGCAAATGATGAGGAAATTCATCACAACCAGGCCTACTTTGCAAGAGCCTTTGAAGGAAGTGCTAAATATGGAAAGAAAAAACTATTACCAGCCACAACAAAAACACACTGAAGTACACAGACAAGTTACACTATGAGGCAACCACATAAACAAGTCTGCAAAATAACCAGCTAGCATTATGATGACAGGATCAAATTCACATATAACAATGCTAACCTTAAATGTAAATGAGCTAAATGCCCTGGTCAAAAAACAGAGTGGCAAGATGGATAAAGAACCAAGATCTATTTTTATGCTGTCTTTAAGAGACCTATCTCACAAGCAAAGACACACATAGACTCAAAATAAAGGGATGAACAAAAATCTCTCAAGGAAATGGAAAACAGAAAAAAAAAGCAGGGGTTTCAATCCTAGGTTCTCATAAAACAGACTTCAAACCAGCAAAGATCAAAAAAAGACAAATAAGGGCATTATAGTAACATAATGGTAAAATGTTCAACAAGAAGAACAAACTATCCTAAATATATATTCACCCAACACGGGAGCACCCAGATTTATAAAGCAAGTTTTTAGAGATCTTCGAAGAGACTTATACTCCCACAAAATAAGAGGGGGAAACTTTAACACCCCACTGACAACATTAGACAGATCATCAAGGCAGAAAATTAACAAAGATATTTAGAACCTGAACTCAGCACAGGATCAAATGAACCTGATAGGAATCTACATAACTCTCCACCTTGAAACAACAGAATGTACATTCTTCTCATCACTACATGGCACTTACTCTAAAATTGATCAAATAATCAGAAGTAAAACACTCCTTAACAAATGTAAAATAACTAAAATCATAACAAAGAGTCTCTTGGACCACAGCACAATCAAATTCAAGACTAAGAAATCAAGATTAAGAAATTCACTCAAAGCCAAACAATTACATGGAAATTGAGTAACCTTCTCCTGAATGACTTTTGGGTAAATGATGAAATTAAAGCAAAAATCAAGAAGTTTTTTGAAACAAATGAGAACAAAGAGACATTGTACCAGAATCTCTGAGATGCAGCTAAAGCAGTGTTAACAGGGAAATTTATAGCACAAAAATGTCCACACCAAAAAGCTAGAAAGATCAAAAGTTAATAAACTAACATCACAATTAAAAGAACTAGAGAACTAAGAGCAAATGAACCCCAGGGCTAGCAGAAGACAAAAAAATGACCAAAATTAGAGCTGAACTGAAAGAGATAGAAAACATGAAAAACCTTTGAAAAAGTCAATGAATCCATGATCTGGTCTTTTGGAGAAATTAAAAAACATAGATAGACTGCTAGCTAGACTCATAGAGAAAGAAAGACAGAAGAATCAAATAAATGTGATCCGAAATGATAAGGGGAATACCACCATTGACACCACAGAATTACAAACAACCATCAAAGAATATTATGTACACCTCTATGCACATAAACTAAAAAATACAGAAGAAATGAATAAATTCCAGGACACATATACCCTCCTAAGGTTGAACCAAGAAGAAATTGAATTCTTGGGTAAACCAATAATGAGTTCTGAAATTGAGACAGTAATAAGTAGCCTACCAAGAAGAAAAAATCCAGGACCAGATGGATTAACAGCTGAATTCTACCAGAGGTACAAAAAAGATCAGGTACAATTTCTACTGAAACTATTCCAAAAAATTGAAAAGGAGAGACTCCTTCCTAACCTGTTCTATGAGGCCAGGATCATCCTGATACCAAAACCTGTCAAAGATATAACAAAAAAAGAAAACTGCAGACCAGTAACCTTGATGAACATTGATGCAAAAATCCTCAACAAAATAATGGCAAACCAAATCCAGCAGCACATCCAAAAGCTTATCCACAATAATTAAATTGGCTTCATCCTCAGGAGGCAAGATGGGTTCAACATATGCAAATAAATAAACATGATTCATCAAATAAACAGAACCAAAACCAAAAACCACATGATTATCTCAATAGATACAAAGAAGACCTTAAATAAAATTCAACATGCCATCATGTTAGAAACTCTCAATAAACTAGGAATTGAAGGCACATACCTCAAAATAATAAGAGCCATTTATGACAAACCCACAACCAATATAATACTGAATGGGCAAAAGCTGAAAGCATTCCATTGAAAACCATCAAAAGACAAGGATGCCGTCTCTCACCACTCCTATTCAACATAGTATTGGAAGTTCTGGCCAGGGCAATCAGGCAAGAGAAAGAAATAAATGGTGTTCAAATAGGAAAAACAGAAGAGAAATTATCTTTGTTTGCAGATAACATAATCCTATACCTAGAAAACCCCATTGTCTCAGCCCCAAAGCTTCTAAAGATAATCAGCAAATTCAGCAAAGTATCAGGATGCAAAATCAATGTGCAAGTTTTCTAGCATTCCTACACATCAACAACAGGCAAGCTGAGAGCAAAATCATTAATGAACTCCCCATTCACAACTGCTACAAAAAGGATAAAATACCTAGAAATACAGCTTACAAGGGAAGTGGGGGACATCTTCAAGGAGAACTACAAACCACTGCTCAAAGAAATCAGAGAAGACACAAACAAGTGGAAAAACATTTCATGCTCATGGATAGAAAAAAATCAATATAGTGAAAATGGCCATACTGTCCAAAGAAATTTATAGATTCAATGCTATTCCCATTAAGCTACCATTGACATTCTTCACAGAATTAGAAAAAAAACTATTTTAAAATTCCCATGGAACCAAAAGAGAGCCCCAATAGCCAAGGTAGTTCTAAACAAAAAGAACAAAACTGGAAGTATCACACTACCTGGCTTCAAACTATACTACAAGGCTACAATAACTAAAACAGCATGGTACTGGTACAAGAACAGATGCATAGACTAATAGAACAGAATAGAGAACTCAGGAATGAGACCACACCCCTACAACTATCTATTTTTTGACAAACCTGAAAAAAAAAACAAGCAATGAGGACAGGATTCTCTATTTAATAAACAATGTTAAGAGAACTTGCCAGCCGTATGCAGAAAATTGAAACTGGGCCCCTTCCTTACACCATATACAAAAATTAACTCAAGATAGAGTAAAGACAAATGTAAAACCCAAAACTATAAAAACTCTAGAAGAAAATCTAGGCAATACCATTCAGGGCATAGGCATGGCAAAGATTTTATGACAAAAATGCCAAAAGCAATTGCAACAAAAGCCAAAATTGACAAGTGGGATCTAATTAAACAAAAGACTTTCTGCACAGCAAAAGAAACTATCATCTGAGTGAACAGACAACTGACAGAATGGAAGAAATATTTCACAATTGATCCATCTGACAAAGGTCTATTATCCAGAGTCTACAAGAAACTTAAGCAAATTTACAAGCAAAAAACAACCCCATTAAAATATGAGCAAACGCCATGAACAGACACTTCTCAAAAGAAGACACACATGAGGCCAACAAGAATATGGAAAAAAGGTCAACATCACTGATCATTACAGAAATGCAAATCAAAACCACAATGGGATATTATCTCATGCCTGTCAGAATGGCTATTAATAAAAAGTCAAAAAACAGCAGATGTTAGTGAAGTTGTGGGGAAAAAAAAGAAATGCTTTTATACTGTTGGTGGAAGTATAAATTTGTTCAACCATTGTGGAAGACTGTGGCAATTCCTGGAAGACCTAGAGGCAAAAATATGATTTGACCAGCAATCCTATTACTTGGTATATACCCGAGGGAATATAAATCATTCTATTATAAAGATACATGCACATGTATGTTCATTGCAGCACTATTCACAATCGTAAAGACATGGAATCAACCTAAATGCTCATCAATGATAGACTGGACAAAGAAAATGTGGTACATATCCATGATGGAATACTATGTAGCCATAAAAAGAAATGTGATCATGTCCTTTGCAGCAACATGGATGGAGTTGAAAGACATTATTCTCAGTAAACTAATACAGGAACAGAAAACCAAACACTGCATGTTCTTGCTTATAAGTGGGAGCTGAATGAAAAGAACATGTGGACACACTGGGGGGAATGACATACACTGGGGTCTGTCAGGGTTGGGTAGAGGGAGGTAGAGCATAAGGAAGAATAGCTTATGGATGCTAGCTTTACTACCTAGGTGATGGAATGATTTGTCCAGCAAATGACCATGGCATACATTTACCTACATAACAAACCTGCACATTATGCACATGTACCCCTGAACTTAAAAGTTGAAGAAAAAAAAAAGACCATGCAGGAACGCATTACCTCACCAAATGAACCAAATAAGGCAAAAGGACCAATCCTGGAGAAACAAAGATATATGACAGGTAATTCAAAATAGTTCGGTTGAGGAAACACAAGGAAATTCAAAATAACAGAGAGAAGGTATTCAAAATTCTATCAGGTGTATTTAACAAAAGATTGAAAGAAATAAAGCAGAAATTCTTGAACTGAAAATTGCAATTGACATACTAAAGAATGTACCAGAGTCTTTTAATGTGCAGAATTGATCATGTAGAAAAAAAAGTGAGCCTGAAGAAAGCTATTTAGAAAATTCATAGTTGGAGGACACAAAAGAAAAAAGAATAAAAATGTGAAGCATGCCAACAGAATCTAGGAAGATAGCACTAAAGGTGCAAATCTAAGAGTTTTTGGCCTGAAAGAGGAGGTAGAAGAGATAGGAGTAGAAAGATTATTCAAAGTGATAATAACAGAGAACTTCCCAAACCTAGGCAAATATATCAATATCCAAATACAAGTAAATTATAGAACATCAAAATGATTTAGCAAAAAAAAAAATACCATGTCAAGGCATTTACAAATGAAACTCCCATAGGTCAAAAATAAAGAATCCTAAAAGTAGCTAGAAAAAAGGAAGGAAAAACATACAGTGATGCTCCAATATGTCTGGCAGCAGACTTTTCACTGGAAACCTTACAGACCAGGAGAGAGTGGCATGACGTATTTAAAGTGCTGAAGGAAAAAAAAAAAGTTTACATTAGAATAGTATATCTGGCAAAACTATACTTCAAACATGAATGAGAAATAAAGACTTTCCCAGCAAACAAAAGCTGAGGGATTTTATCAACACTAGACCTGTCCTAAAAGAAAGTACGTCAACTAGAAAGAAAAGGGAGTTAACAATCAGCAAATTCAAGAAACATATTTTCTTGAAACAAATGATAATGAAAGTATAACATACCTAAACTTATGGGATAAAGTGAAAGCAGTACTGAGGGAAGTTTATAGCTCTATGTGCCTACACTATAAAAGAAGAACTTCAAATAAACAACCTAACAATGCATCTTAAAGAACTGTAAAATTGAGAGCAAACTATACCCAACAAGATATCATCGGAAGGTGAAAAACTCACTGGTCTTAGTAAGTACACAGAAAAACACAGAATATTATAACACTGCAACTGTGTAATGTAAATTACTCATATCTTAGAGTAGAAAGACTAAACAATGAACCAATCAAAAATAAAAACTACAACAACTTTCCAAGACATAGACAATACAATAAGACATAAATAAAAACAAAAAAGAGTTAAAGAGTCAGGGGATAAATTTAAGATCCAGAGTTTTTATTTTTTTATTTTTATTTTTGCTTGTTCATTTGTTTATACAAACAGTGTTAAGATGTTATCAGCTGACAATGGGTTATAAAATAGTATGTGCAAGCCTCAGAGATGATCACAAAAGACCAGAAAACAAATAACAAAATGGCAGGATTAAGTACTTAGTAATCGACAGCAACATTAAATGTAAATTGACTAAGCTCTTCAATCAGAATACATACAGGGGCATAATGAATTAAATAACAAGACCCAACAATTTGTTGCCTACAAGAAACACATTTCACCTATAAAGACACATACAGATTAAAATAAAGGTATGGAAAGAGATATTCCATTTCAAGGAAAACCAAAATAGAGCAAGAGTAGCTCTACTTATATCAGAAAAAGTAGATTTCAAGACAAACTATAGGAAGACACTAAGAAGGCCACTATATAATGATAAAGGGGACAATTTAGCAAGGACATATAATGATTTTAAATATATATGCACCTAACATTGAAGCAACTAGATATACAAAACAAATATTGTTAGAGCTAAAGAGAGAGATAAACCAAATACAATAATAGCTTAAAACTTCAACACTCCACTTTCAGCTTTGGAAAGATCTTCCAGACAGAAAATCAACAAAGATCTTCCAGATAGAAAATCAGCAAAGAAATGTCAGACTTAATCTGCACTATAGAACAAATAGATAGTTACATAACATTTTAACCAATGGCTGCAGAATACACTTTTTTTTTTTTTTTTTTGCTCAGCATACGGATGATTCTCAAGAAGAGACCATTTGTGAGGTCACAAAACAAGTATTAAAACAATAAAAGAATCAAATATCTTCTTTCACCACAATGAGATGAAACTAAAAGTCAATAAAAGAGGAATTTCAAAACTATACAAATACATGGAAATTAAAAAATATGTTCCTGAATGAACAGTGGTTCAATAAAGAAATTAAGGAGGAAACTGAAACTTTTCTTGAAACAAATGATAATGGCAGTATAACATACCCAAACCTATGGGATAAAGTGAAAGCAGTATTGAGAGAAATTTATAGCTCTAAGTGACTACACTACAAACGAAGAACTTCAAATAAACAACCCAACATCTTAAAGAACTAGAAAAGTGAGAACAAACCATACCCAAAAAGTAATAGAAGAAAAAACTAATAAAGATCAGAGAAAAATAAAATTGAAATAAAGAAAACAATAGAAAAAAATCAGTGAAACTTTTTTTTCTAAAAAATGTTAAACAAAATTAGCAAACCTTTAGAGAGATGAAGAAAAGCAGACAGTATCCAAATAAATAAAATCAGAGATAAAACAGAGACATTATAACTGATACCACAGAAATTTAAAGGATCATTAGTGGTTACTATGTGCAACTACATGACAATAAATTGGAAAATCTAGAAGAAATGGACAAATTCCTAGACACATACAATCTACCAAGATTGAACCATGAAGAAATTCAAAACCTGAACAGATCAATAACAAGTAACAAGATCAAAGCCATAATAAAAAAGCTTCCAGCAAAGAGAAGCCCAGGAAGCAATGGCTTCCCTGCTGAATTCTACCAAACATTTAAGAACAAATTGTACCAATCTTACTCAAACTATTCCAAAAAAATGGAGGAAGGCAGAATACTTTCAAACATATTCTACAAAGCCATTATTATCCTGATACTAAAATCATACAAAGACATATCAAAAAAAGAAAACTACAGTCCAATATCATTGAGGAATATTGATGTGAAAATAGCCAAATACTAGCAAACCAAATTTAACAACATGTTAAAAAGGTCATTCATCATGACCAACTGGGATTTATCCCAGGGATGCGTGGATGGTTCAACATATGCAAATCAATAAATGTGGAACATCATATCCGCAGAATGAAGGACAAAATCAATATAATCATTTCAATTGATATTAAAAAGGCATTTGATACAATTCTATATCTTTTTATAATAGAAACCCTCAAAAACTGGCCATAGAAGGAGCGTATACCTCAATAAAGTGAAAGCCATATACAAAATAACCACAGCTACTATCATGCTAGATAGGGAAAATCATGTGAAAGCCTTTTCTCTAAGATCTGGAACACAACATGCATGCCCACTGTCACCACTGCTCTTTAACATTGTACTGGAAATCCTATCTAGAGCAATCAGACATGAGAAATAAATAAATGGCCTCCAAATTGGAATGGAGGGTGTCAAATTATCATTGTTTGCAAAGGATATAATCTTACATTTGGAGAAACCTAATGGCTCCACCAAAAACTGATGAGAAGTGATAAATACATTCAGTAAAGTTGCAGGATAAAAATATCACCATACAAAAATTAGTAGAATTTCTATATGCCAACAGCAAACAACAAAAAAAGGAAATCAAGCAGGTAATGCCATTAGCAATCACTACAAAAAAATAAAATACCTAGGAATAAATTTAATCAAAAAAGTGAAAGATCTATACAATGAAGACTGTAACACATTGATGCCGGCAATTAAAAAGGACCCCAAAAATGAAAAGTTATTCCATATTCATGGATTGGAAGAATCAATATTGTTAAAATGTTCATACCAACCAAAGCAATATACAGATTCAATGCAATCCCTATAAAAATATCAATGATAGTTTTCACAGGAAAAGAAAAAAAATCCTCAAATTTATATGGAAACACAAAAAACACAGAAGAACAAAAACTATCCTAAGCAAAAGAACAAAACTGAAGGAATCACATTACCTGACTTCAAATTATACTACAGAGTCATAGCAACCAAAACAACATAGTAATTGCATAAAAACAGACATATAGACCAATGGAACAGAATAGAGAACCCAGAAGCAAATCCACACACCTATGGTGAACTCATTTTTGCCAAAGGTGCCAAGAACAAACACTGGGGAAAGACAGTCTCTTCAATAAATAGTGCTGGGAAAACTGGATATCCATAAGCCTGAGAAAAAACCTAGACCCCTATCTCTTGCCATATACAAAAATCAAATCAAAATGAATTAAAGACCTAAATCTAAGACTTCAAACTGTGAAACTACTAAAAGAAAACTTTGGAGAAACTCTCCAAGCCATCTGAATGGGCAAAGACTTCTTGAGCAATGTGTCACGGACACAGGCAACCAAAGGAAAAATGGACAAATGGGATCACCTCAAGTTAAAAAGCTTCTACACAGCAAAAGATACAATCAGCAAAGCAAAGAGACAACACACAGAGTGGGAGAAAATATTTGCAAGCTGCCCATCTGACAAGGATTAATGACCAGAATACATAAGGAGCTCAAATAATTCTATAGAAAAAATTATGCTAATCCAATAAAAAAATAGTTAAAAGATCTGAAGAGACATTTCCTAAGAGAAGACATACAAATGGCCAATAGACATATGAAAATGTCCTCAACATCACTGATCATCAGAGAAATATGAATCAAAACTACAATGAGATAATATATCATCCCAGTTAAAATAGCTTATATCCAAAAAAGAGGCAATCAAATGCTGGAGAGGATTTGGATACAAGAGAACCCTCATACATGTACTGTTGGTGGGAATGTAATCTAGTACAATCACTATGGAAAAGTTGGAGTTTCATCAAAAAACTAAATATACAGGTACCATATGATCCAGCAATCCCACTGCTGGCTACATACCAAAAAGGAAGGAAATTAGTATATCGAATACATCTCTGCACTCGCATGTTTATCGCAGCACTATCCACAACAGTTAAATGTAAATTTATATGCTATAATCTCAAAATACATTTGAAATGGAAAATAAAAAATAAAAGATTTAGAAGCAACCTAAATGTCTATCAACAAAAAAATGGATGGCGTCGTTTGCATCTGTGTCTTCACCAAATCTCATGTCAAATTGTAATTTGCAAGGTTGGAGGTGGGGCCTGGTGGGAGGTGATTGAATCGTGTTCAATTTTCTCATGAATGGTTTAGTGCCATCCCATTGGTACTGTCCTTGTCAAAGTGAGTGAGCTATCACAAAATCTGGTCATTTAAAAGTGTGTGGCACCTCCCCTCTCACCCTCTTGTTCCTGCTCCTGCCATGTAAGATGCCTGCTCCCCGTTCACTGTCTACCATGACTGGAAGCCTCTTGAGGTTTCTCCAAAAGCCAAAGCCACTAACCTTCCCATGCAGCCTACAGAATTGTGGACCTATTAAACCTCTTTTATTTATAAATTACCCAGTCTCAGGCATTTCTTAATAGCAATGTGAGAATGAACTAATACAATGGGTAAAGGAAATGTGGTACATTTACACAATGACGTACTATTCAGCCATTAAAAAAAAATGAGATTCTCTCATTTGCAATCACATGGATTGAACTTGGGGACATTAAGTGAAATAAGCCAGGCATGCAAAGACAAACATTGTATGTTCTCACTTATTTCTGGGAACGAAAAATCAAAACGATAAAATTCATGGAGTTAATGAGTAGAAAGATGTTTACCAGAGGCTGAGAAGAGTAGTTCAGGGGTTGGGGGGAAAGAGGAATAATTAATGTGTACAAAATATATTTTGAAATAATAAGTAAGATCTAGTATTTGCTAGCACAACAGGGTGACTACAGTAAAAAATAATTTAATTGTATACTTTAGAATAGGTAACAGAGTATAATTGGATTCTGTGAAATATAAAGGTTAAGTCCTTGAGGTGACAGATACCCTTTTCCCCTGATGTGATTGTTACACATTGCATGCCAGTATCAAAATATTTCATGTTACCCATAATATATACACCTACTATGTAATCACAAAAATTAAAAATTAAACAATGATAATAACAGTTACTGAGTGCTTACTATGAATGCCAGGCACCCCCTCAACATAACACTATGAGCTCAGAATTATTTTTCTTTTCTTATAGATGAGGAACCTGAGACTGTACTTCAGAGAGATTAAATAGTTTGCCAAGGTCATAAAGCAAGGAAGTGGCTGAGCCAAGGTTCAAAGGGAGTTCATGCTCTCATGTGCCATACTGTACTGTTTCTTATGCATATCATATGAATACATGATAGAATATAACTATGTGCATTCGTAATAGCAAAAATGACATCAAAACTAGAGTTGGTGTAACTGTGCCTGCATTCTAAGGAAACTGGCATATTTCACCTTGGAAAGGAAATATATTTCTATAATTATTTTTCCTGTTTGGGGAGAAAGAAATGGATGTTTTAAGCTTCCTCTCACTGGTTAGCTGCACCATAATGACTATTTTCATATGCAAAGTTGATTCTAAAGCTAAATAAAATGTGGAGAGTCAAATTGCTTAGCAAAATAAAAGTGAGAATTGTGTTTCTCAAGGACAGAAAGGATAGGAAAGACTGGTAAGGGAACATCTTACTGACGGAAATGACCAAGAGACCCCTCAGATGACTCGAATATTCTGTCAACCTACTGAGTTATTGTAAGAGTGACACTTTCAGGGGCTATGTTTCCAGGCCAGTTTGACCCTAAGCCAAATAAAGTCAATAGGGACAGCCTGATGAGTTAAATAATTTTTGGAGCTCTCTAGATGGATATGCAGCTCCTAGCTCATGTGAACAGAGTTTTAGACAGTTTTTACTTATATTTATAATCACAAATTTGATCCGTAAGTGCATCACTTAATGTAACCATATGCACGCACACACACACGCACACACAAACTGGCACAAAATCCAACTGCATATATTATGGCTTGTCAGAGTTAGGCAAGGGATGAGGAAAAGAGGCTCAGAATATATTTGTTGTGTGTTAGATAGGCAGGATTTAAATCAAAATATTTCTTTAGTCTTTTTCATAGCTAACCTATTTGTGCAAGAACTATATGCTATTTTTATTATTTTCAGTGCCCATTCCAATGCTACTTAATCCAGACTTACTTTAAATAGCTCTTGCTACAGAATCAATACATGACATTTAATTATTTTAGCAAATTTATTTTCCCTGGTACATAGTTTGCTACAAGTGGATAAAGACGGGATTAGTTTTCCTTAAGGCTGGTTGGAATTTTCTCATACTGCTGGGTCAGGATGTGGAGAAAGGAAATGGTTAACGCCACTCCACCACAGGAAATATGTTGCTAAAATGTTCTACAATTTTTGTTACTTTTAACATTTTTTGATGGTGATTTATTTCCCCCTTCACACGTTCAGATACCACATCTGGTTTGCAATTTACATCTCAATAATTTTGATCAATTGCTTTGATCAATTTTCCATCTGTTATTGGCAACTTAGTCTAACCACACACAGAAAAATAATAGAGGTTATGGAGGGTTAATTATCAGCTTTCCCCAAAGTGCTACATTCTAGATTTTGTCATTGGCTTTATTTAACAAGCACTCTACTTCTTTGTTAGCTGTAGCAATATTAACTTGTGCTTTCTGGGTCAGGCTCCTCTAAACTCTGAGCTCTTGACCTGTATATCAGTTCTTTCTTTTCTTCCAGTCTTATCTGCAACCTTCTCAAGTTGATTTTTTTTTTTTTTTAAGGCACAAAAGAGGAAAAGCACAATCCAAAAATTGCTGGAAGTGACTACCTCTTAACTGCCTGTTTTCATTATCATGTTCACCTCGGTGCCCCTTTTGAACAGTAGTGTAGCTCCTTTAACACTAAATTCTTAATGACAATATTTGCTATGCATGCCCAGTGAATGTGGGCTTTATAAAATAAATCCTCTGCTCTGAGCTGTGCCTCAAAGGGCACCCTTCTGATATGTAAAAGAATTAACTTTTGAACTGATGTGGGAATGCTGTGCTTAGGCAAAACTTTTATACTTAGCTCTTGATTATTTAAAAATGTTACAGAAATAAACCAGGCATTATTTTTTTGCACATAGATCAGTATTGCTTACAAAAAAGCACACACTCCATGTGACTATAAATCAATCTTGGTCATTTTGTAAGTATCACCATTATAATTGAAAGCTAATCCATAATAATATTTTATACTTAGTGGTTTATTCTATAACTGGCCTTAGAAATGACATTTGGGGATAGTAAAGGTTTGGCTTTATTCATTCATTTCAATTTTGCCTTATTTCTGCAGTACCTTAGTACATATATTAAAAATATAAGTGAAATAAGCAAATACATAGAATGAATGAATTTGTCCAATTATCACACATCTTTTTTGTCTTTATTGCCCTTCTTCCTTTTCATGATTATTTTCTATAGGTGTCCCAGGATTTTGTAGTTACTACCTGCTCTCCCCAAACTTTCCTTCTGCTCTCATATATTTATCGTCACAGAGATGAAAGTGAGCTTAAAACTTATTCATTCTAATTATTTGCATTCTTACTGAATAAAATACAGAACTAAAAAGATGAATGTAGTACAAAACTTTCAGCCTCCATCCAATAATTTGATGAAGGAGACCCATGCCTGACATTTGTAGGCTGGGGTCAAGGGTAAAATTAAAAGCCTATAAACAATATATTTAAACATTTAGAAGTTGAAAAGCAAGCAAAATAGAAAGATATAAAAGGCATAAAAGAACAAATACAAGAATGAACTCAGGCTTTTTGTCAGAAACTACAAAAGCCAGAAGGCAATGGCCCATTTTTTTTTCTGGATAAAGAAGTTTGAATTATTATTATTATTATTACTATACTTTAAGTTCTAGGGTACATGTGCACAACGTGCAGGTTTCTTACATATGTATACATGTGCCATGTTGGTGTGCTGCACCCATTAACTCGTCATTTACATTAGGTATTTCTCCTAGTGCTATCCCTCCCCCCTCCCCCCACCCCACGACAGGCCCCAGTGTGTAATGTTCCCCACCCTGTGTCCAAGTGTTCTCATTGTCCAATTCCCACCTATGAGTGAGAACATGCGGTGTTTGGTTTTCTGTCCTTGCAACAGTTTGCTCAGAATGATGGTTTCCAGCTTCATCCACGTCCCTACAAAGGACATGAACTCATCCTTTTTTATTGCTGTATAGTATTCCATGGTGTACATGTGCCACATTTTCTTAATCCAGTCTATCATTGATGGACATTTGGGTTGGTTCCAAGTCTTTGCTGACAATAGCCCATCTTTAAAGAAATGAAAGAAAAACAATTATTAACCTAAAATTTGGTATCCAGTGAAAATGTTTCCAAATATGAAACCAGATCTAAAACTCTTTCAGACAATAAAAATTAAGACAATTTATTCACCTGCAACCTCAGAATGTCACCTTATTTCTAAGTAATATCTTCATAAATGTAATTAGTTAAGGATTTCAACCTGATAACATACTGGATTTAGGGTGGACCCTATATTCAATGACTGGTATTCTTATAAGAACAGAAGAGTACACAGAGAAACAAGGAGAAGACAATGTAAGATGGAGGCAGAGAATGAAGTGATGAATCTACAGGGCAAGAAATGACATGATTACTGTCAATCACCAGAAACTCAGAGAGAGTAATGAGACAGTTTCTCCCCTCAGAGCCTCCAGAAAGAAGCATTTCTAGGGTCACCTTGATTTTGTATCTCTCTGCAATTTGTCCATTTCACCTAAGTTATTCAATTTGTTTGCATACATTGCTGTTTATAGTATTCAAATACAATTCTTTTTATTTCTTTGAGGTTGGCAATAATGTCCCCTTTGGGATTTTTGTTTTTAGTAACTTGAGCCTACTCTTACTGTCTTTGTCAATATAGGAAAAACTCTTATCAATTTTATTAATCTTTTCAAAGATCAAACTTTTGATTTTATTGATTTTTTTTACTGTTTTCCTATTCTTAATTTAATTATTTCTTCCCTTCTGCTTTATTTAGGCTTAGTTTACCATTTTTTCAGTGTTTTAATCTGGAAAGTTCGGTTGTTGATTTGAAATCTTTCTTCCTTTTTAACTAAGGGCATTTACAGATATACATTTCTCTATCAGAATTGCTTTCCCTGCATTCCATAAATTTTAGCATATTTTGTCTTCATTTTCATTCATCTCAAAGTGTTTTATAATAATTTCCCCTTTGTTTTTTAACATTGTTTGTTTCATAGTATATTGTTTAATTCCATTAAACTCTGTGAATTTTCCAAATTTATTCTGTTATTAATTTGTAATTCTACTCCATTGCGAAGGGTGAATGTTCTTTGTACATTAATACTTTAACATTAATTGAAGCTTATTTTATGGTCTAACATATAGTCTATCTTAGAGAATGTTCCATATGCACTTAGGAAGAATGTATATTCTGCAAGCTGCTGGATGAAGTGTTTATATGTCTATTAGAGCTAGTTGATTTATAATTTTGTTCAGATTTTCCATTTCTTTATTGATCTGCTGCTGCTGGGACAAAGAACAGGAGAAAACCTCTCCAAGTCATTTTATAAGGCCAGCATCACTTTGACACCAAAACCACACAAAAATAACACAAGAAAAGATACCTATAATCTAATATGCCTCATGAAAAAGTCTAGAAATCTTTAACATAACTATAGCAAATTAAATTCAGCAATATTGGAAAAGGATACACATCATAGCCAAGTGAAACTTATCGCCCAAATTTAACATCAGTTAAACATTTGGAAATCATTTTGATTCATTATATCATGAACACATGATAGTTCTATATTACTGTCTCTGTCTCTCTCTTTTTCCCTGTCTGCTATAGACTAAACATTTTTTGTCCTCCCAAAATTTGTATGTTAAAAATGCAGTCTCTGAACTAAGAAGTAGGCTCATACTAGACGTAGAATCTTTTGGCATTTTGATCTTGGACTTCCAAGTCTCCAGAACTGTGATAAATATATTTCTGTTTCTTATAAGTCACCCAGGCTATGGTATTCTGTTATAGCAGCCTAAATGAACCAAACATCAACCTATTTAAAAAATAATGTAACAATCTCAATAGATAAAGAAAAAGTAGTTGACAAAATTAAACATCATTTCATGATAAAAACTCAACAATCTTATAGGGAACTTCCTATATTTGATGATAGGATTCCACAAAACACTTAATATCATACTTATTGGCAAAATAATAAATGCTTTCCTGCTGAGAATGGATATGAGGCAGGGTTGTTCATGTGCACCATTATATTCAATACCTCCCTATACAATGATTAAAAAAAAATTTAAAGGAAGAAACAAAACTGTCTTTATAGTTAGACAATATTATCAAGTGTGTAGAAAATTAAATATTCAAAAGTTATTTAACCTATTAAGTTTAATAATTTCACAGGGAACAATGTCAATATTCATATTTTAATAGTACTTTTATATATTATTATGAACATTTAAAATTCAAATAAAAATATCATATAAATTGTATTAACATGAAATACCTAGAGAAATGGAACATTTGTGCAATATTTACATGCTGAAAACTAGAAAGAAAATATTGGTGAAAGAAATTTTTTTACAAGATGAAATTTCTCCATTGGTTCATGAAAGATTCATTTTACAGTATACAATTGCATAGGTACTACAAATAAATGAATAAATGAATAAATTTGGGGATTGAAAACCTCTTAGTGAAAGAATTTTAATACAGAAGGGACAGATGAATGACTTGCAGATAAAAAAGCAATCCCAATCCCCTTCTAGCCATTTAAACTTGAATAAGTTTAGGAAACATTCTATGAGAGGGTTTTAAAATGGGAGCTGATAATTACAGGTTATGTAAGTGAAAGTATGTTACTGAGGTTATCTACTCTATTTCACAGTTCTTGGTTAGAAAGTAGGAAAGTAAAGATAAAATCAAGTAAGGTTTGTCTTTTCAAATATGGACTAAGAACAATTCACACGTCTGTGTGTTTACACTCATAGTGGGTCATGGTGGGTAAGATAGTAGCAGAAATAAGAATGTTTGCTACAAGTTCATGAACAATAAAGATTCTGATGTTCTCTCTTTTAGGCTTATCCAATAAGCTATCACCAGTCAATCTATTTGGAAAAATCAAGTTGTGGACATTCTTCTGTAGAAATAATAGTAGGAATTAATAATATTTCCACCATAGATAGTTGTAGTCAAGTACTTACCCATGGTTAAATCACTATAACCAAGCAGAGAGTAGAGGAGTCAAAGGAGTCAAAGGAAATGAAAAAAAAAATTGAGGAAAGAACAAGAGCCTTTTGTAGGGAACACAGAATTTTGACTAGAGATGCACAAAACCAAAACCTGATTTAAAAATATACGTGAAGACTCCTTGTGAAGACAAAAGATACAAATGATTTTTCCCAAGAGGGCCATTTTCTGATTTTGATATCCTTATGTGGCTCTGGCCACAGAATATGGGGAATAGTTCTGAAATAAATACTAGATCTATTTTTTGTCTAAGATATCAGCAATCTTGAAAATCAAATATGAAGTGTATTGCTACCACAGTTAATGGAAAATATTGCTAATCTGGACAATCCACTTGGAAACCGTTTGAAACAGCACATCTCTGTATTATACACAAACTTCTTGCCTTTGAAAAGGGATAATGGAAAAACTTATGGTAATAATCACTTTAATTGCTATGACCAAGGTTGTTCCATAGAAACCAGAAGGAATTACACGTTTACACAAGTGTAATGGAAGAAACACTTCTCAGTAAGTGAATTTCTCTCTTTGTCACTCAAATCTAGGGAAATGCTCTGAGATTTGTCAACTACATGGCACGTTCAAGTTATAGAGAATGAAAATGTTCCTTTTCCCACATCCAGGGAATTTACTCACTGACAGTAATAACCGCTACATGCTGATAATACTAACCATTTCATTTAGGTTTCTATGTCCCTAAATAATCAGTATAAGCAGCATGTAGCATTACTTGTGCATGTCTAATACTTAACTAAGTAATTATCTCTCATATTTTTAGTTTGGGTGGGGACACTGACTCTACACTGATATTTTCTTTGAGGTTGGTATGTGGATTAAAGATTTGCAGATTTCCTCTCAATGTGTAACCAAAGTATGATACACTGAAGGAAAAAAGTAACTCGTTTGCCACCGCTAGAACTTGTATTACCACTGATAGATATAAGTTTTGATAGTTAAGTGTGATAACAGGAGCTACAAGAATGAGATTGAGTCTTGTTCTAGAATTTGAAAAAGCCTGTTAAGTTAAAAAAAAAAAGGGTTACTGGTTGAAAACTTTTTCTTATCTAATTATGGGAAAAGATTATATAATGTTTTCATTTAAAATGGAAAAAAATAGAATAGCAGATTCATCAGTATAATTTATTCCTAATGGGAGAACTCATAGAAAAATCTGTCTTCTCATCTTTGAGCCTAGAAAGACACCTTCTGAGAAATGATTGTGCTTTTCAAAGGACCACAAAAGTTCTATGGAGGTTTGAATGCCAATAGAGTTTCCTGATATTGGAACTTTCAGAATTTTAGGAAATTAATGGTTAGAAGTTGGAACAACCTTTAATTTTAAAGTTGTCAGCAGTTTTTGGACTTATCTTTGGATACTGTTCTTTGTTTTGAGGAAAAGGATTTAAAAATCATATTTTGTTTCCTTAAATAAAAAAATACAGAATTCAATCCTCAAATTGAAGGAATGAGTTCCACATTTCTGTCAACACCAGAGCAAAGTAATGGGTTCTTCCCCAAGATATGTAACGGGGAGTTAGATTTTGAGGCCAGAAGTTAGAGTTGAAGTGATTCTGAGACTGTAAGATTAGTAGGAATTCACAAAAATTTTTGGTAGAACACTAGGCTTTTCATTGAGATGTAGAAAAATGTTTGAGTAACCGTATCTAAAATCTAAAGGACAGTATGACATAAAGTGACAGCTCACAAAAAGCTTACTATGTGTGGTTTCTCTCTCTCTCTCTCTCTCTCTCTCTCTCGTGTGTGTGTGTGTGTGTGTGTATCTTCTTGAGGGTTATACATATAGAAATATAAGTTGAAAAATAATGCCTTATTGTCACAGACATATTGGAGATACTATGCTATTGCTAAGCTCAGTAATTGTCTCAGTTCTTCGTACAAGCTTTCCCTTCCAGTCCATCCAACTAATGCTCCAACACCTGAACACATTAGAGGCAGTCATGGAGCTTTCAGAGTTAAATGCAAGCAGGTGTAACTGTGATGTTAAATTGGTGACTGTGAAAAGTCCGCTCTAATAATTCCATACGTATGAAATTGAGATTGTACATTTCATCAACAAAATGCACTTGAAGTCTCATGATCAATAATTTTTATAAGCAGATGTTTCATAACATATGGGGCTTCTGGTTTCCTTAGAGCAGTGGTTTTGAATATCAGCTGCATATTATAATTACCTGGGGAATTGAAAAAAATACTAGAGTCTCGCCTCATCCTCAGACAAATTAAATCAAGATCCCTCAAGAAGAGGTGTGGGGCTTATACTTAAGCTTCTCACTTGATTCCTATGTACAGTCATGGTGAAGGGCCACTATCATAGAATACAAAGGAAGCCTCCTGTAGAAAAAGTAAAGTTGTTGCCATAGAAGTGATTAAGCATTCATCTGCTGATCTGATAAATGTTGTTATAATGGTGTACACTGATAATAGTTAATATTGTTGAGATATAACTATAACCAAGTTCTATCATACAAAGTTTGAATATATTATATCTTGAAATCCTCATATAAAGCTAACAGTTTGGGTTCTATCATGTTATTCTTTTTGCAAAAGAAACAACTAAGGTAAAGAGCATAAGTTACTGCTTGTCCAAAACTTCTTAACTAGTAATTAGGAGCTATAGAATTAGGATTCAGAATTCTCTAATTCTGCTAATCCCCAGAAGTGTACACTATACCTTCATGTCAGGTTTAACATTTATGTAACAGAGCAAATATATATTCAATGGGATTTAGTATACCAGCAGCAATTATTTGAGATCATTTTTCTTTATGATTGTATACTGCAAGTCTTTTCAAGTCATTTAGAGGTTGACACAAAAAATACAACAAATTCAGGGTATTATGTTACTGTGTATTGTATTACAGAGAAAAACAATTACATTGTAAGCTCACCAAATTTTAATTTAACAAAACTAAATGTTAACAAATATGTAATAATTTACTTTCTTATAGTTGGGTTTATCTGCAAATACCCAGATAAACTTTGTTCACATGGAAGAATCTTTCATATCATTTAATACTATTTAGAATTTAAATATATTTTCCAAGACAGCTGATACCAATAGGAATATCACATTACTACTACCTTTACCTAAGAACAAAGCAATGGGCCAAAGAGAAGATGCAATATTATGTTAGACATATACCAGAGACTTTTTTTGCTATCTAAAATTCATTGTTAGGGATCAAAGCCAGTTAGGAACAGATAATGTAGATTTTAACTTCTATGCCCTAACACATTTATTACACATTTTATAGGAATTTTTTTAAATAAAACTAAAAAGGAAATTCAATAGACATTTCACTAATTTTTAAACTATGTATAAATAGCAAAACTGGAAAACCCAATAACATTTGAAATTCTGGATCCTGATCTAAGAAACTGTTAATGCAACCAATACGTGTAGGGCAGTAATCTAAGCTCAAATGCTTTTATAAGCTAAATATGTAGTGCAAATATGGATTATGTATATGAATATAAATTGCAACTGACACTTAGTGTTATTGTTATGGCATTAATAGGGCTAGTGAGAACCCTGGGGAGGACATGCAGTTCCAGCAAATGCTTTATTTGTGAATGCAGCCAAATGTAATTTTGAGAAAAAAATTTGAAAGTTAACCTTTTTTCTAATTTTTTAAACATAATAACAGTGAATGTACATGTGGATGATAATGTGAACAAACACTATTTTGATCAAAATCACTCCCCTATTCTCCTAAATATATCTCTGCATCAGTGAAGCCAGAATGATTACACACATACACACACACACACACACACAAACACACACGCACGTCTGCTTATGAGAACTAATGACTAATGGTGCACATTTTTCCAACTCTACCTTTAGTGACATTACATGGGTAGCTGTAGATTAACCATGGTGAAAGTATTTACACCATGGAAATAAGCAAATGATACAACTCTTCTTGTTTTTTTAATTCTTATTCTTTATTTTCCAGAGACATGGTTTACAGTACAACACTGCTATAGATTGGGTTTGGATTAGGGAGTACTAATTTGTGGCACCTGCTATAATCTATGAGATCAACATGTTCCCAATTTATCAGTGATGATGTGTTGGTAAGAAACATTTCGATTACAAGTAACAAAATCTAACTCATATTGTTATAAATAAAGCAAGACATTCATCAAGAGAATACTGATATAGCTCACAGAATCGAGGGAATTTAGGTAGCAGGTTATGTTGGTAAAGTGTGGTATGACCTCAATCTGCTCTAGGATCACATCATTCCTACATTAATGGTCTCAGAGAGTAAAGAGGAACGAGAACCTTTTTCTCAGATTTGTATTATATAAATCATAAGCTAAGAATCTGATTGGTCCATGTTCAGTTCCATCACAGCCCTTTAGATTAACCAATAAAACAAGAAAATGAAGCTTTGTGATCAGGTAGATAGGAAACTATGGTAAGAAAGATCCGGATTACATGGAAACTAAGCAATGGACTATTATTAGCAATCTTATTAGAATACGGTTGGAGTGATCAAAGGTCATTTTTGTAACTAAAAAAACAGTTTCTTCTACAAAAAAAATGTGGAAGAGGAAAGTAGATGATAAACAGGAACAACAGGACAAGGCAAAAATATTTTACAAATAGGCATTCTTTTCAGGAAGAAAATTGTATAAGTAATCCAATCACACCTATCATATTTTTTACTACTCACGGTATATAGGTGGCAGCACGGAGGAAGTGAACCAGAGAAAGATTTTACTCTATAACTATGTTACACACAAAAATGTTTTTTTTTCTTTGTATTAGTCAGGGCTCTCCAGAGAAATAGAACTGTTAGAATGTGTGTGTGTGTGTGTGTGTGTGTGTGTGTGTGTGTGGTGTGTGTGTGTGTGTGTGTGTGTGCATGTGTATGGAGAGAGAGAAGGAGACAGATTTATTATAAGGAATTGTCTCACATGGTTAGGGGCACTGAGAAGTCCCAAGATCTGCAGTTGGCCAGCTGGAGACCCAGGAGAGCTGATGGTGTAAGTTCCAATCTGAAAACTAGCAGGTTCAAGATCAAAGAAGAGCTGATGTATCAGTTTGAGTCTACAGACAGAAACAAAAGACCTATTTCCCAGCTCAAATGGTAAGGCAGGAGGAATTGTCCTTTAATCTTGGAGAATCAGCCTTTTAGCTCTATTCATGACTTCAACTGATTAGATAAGGGCCACTCATAGTAGAGTTGGCAATCTGTTTCACTCAATCTACCAACTCAGAGGTCATCTTATTCAAAAACATACTCAAAGACACCCAGAATAATGTTTCATCGATTATCAGGGTACCCCATGAGTAGTCAAGTTGACATATAAAATTAGCCATCACAATCCTTTTGCTAGCCATATGCCCCCCGCCCCATGTGTTTTGGCCAAAGGCAATGTCTGTATATCTACCAGGGAAAGATTACTTAAATTCTGACTGCAATAAATGTGTGTTTTTAAGAATTGGGGTTCTGTTGCTTAAAATTTAAAAGTTTGCATGAAACATATATACTGAAGTTTATCTCTTTGGTTTGGAAAATCACCTTGGCTCACTAGCAAAACTAACAATGGAGTTTATTGCAAAAAAAGTACACCAGGCAACATAATTTCACCAAGTGCTATAAAATTATAAAACCTGAAATACAAAGCAAAATATATCTCAATTAAAATGATTTCTTCTATGAAAAATACATAATAAATATAAAAGTTTGTAAATGTCAACAAAAGAGATTTCCATTTTGATTAATCTCTCTTCTGATCAGTACATCCCACGTCATTCAGTAAATAAGGATTAGAAACAAAAAAAAATGAAAGCCGGTGAAGTTAGCAGGGCCGATATTCAGTTAATTATTTCTTCTCCCATTTTAAAATAAATTTAACAAGAGAGGTCAATTATATAAGTAAATATAATATGTATATATATATATTTTTTTCACCATAAAATACATTATAATTACAGGACCAAAATATTGCTAAATCTATGTGTTACATTTTGCTTGTGTGCACATAAGCAATGTGAAATGAAGGGTTGAACAATCCAAAATTGGTTCAGGCTGTGTAGATGAACAATGTTTAAGAGTAAGGCACTCACATGTTATTTTCTTTCATAGAAAGTTTTGTTTGTTTGGCCCAAACTACCTTATAGTATTACTTCAATTATCTGATTTTCTTTGACTGTGAAGGCATAGCTTTAATGTATTTTATACCAGATCACATCTATGGTTTTTAAAGACTCACTATCAGGTTTAATATGCTTAGTTTACTATGCTTAGATTCTGCAAATTTTATTTGCCGTAAATAGCAACTTTTACATCTCTCCTATATCAGCCATGCATCAGGATAAACAACATGGCATAAAAAAGCAGAAGGCATAGTTAAGATGGAATCATTATGCAAATAGGTTATGGCATGCTTTATATGAGAACAGCTTCCCTAAAGAGACCTAATGGGATGACTGACCTATAAAGCATTTAATTTGTTGTTAGCATTTCATTTAATTGTCTTGTAGTTCCTGCAGGAATAAAACTTTTAATTGTAAAAAACTTCTAAATGACTCAATGGTTAATTTCTTTTCCTGTAACTAACAGGTTCCCACACTGTAGAACACAAAATTATATACTATCAATCATTTCATAGATGCTTCTCTGATATGGTTTTTGATCTCTGAGATAGTAAATGGATGTAGACTGGTTATATAGATCATTTCTCAACTCATAAGAACTAGCTTTAGGAAATTATTGCCTTATGAATATGCACACAATTCTAGCCTATGTTCACAAAACCGAGAATAAGAATGTAAAGAGGATATTAGCGTTCATTAAAATACAATATTTTTTACTTTATTATAGAAAACTGTCCATAGTAGGAAATCCATATTCTGACATTTGATGATTAATAAGATGATATTTCACAAGCTAATAATGTTAAGATATGTTTGACTGTCAATAAAAGTTATTTTAAAGGTATGAAACTTACCTCCACACACTTTATCTATACACATTTGATTATTTAAATTGTCCTAAAAACTATTTCAGCATGTGACTCAGTGGTTCTCAAATTTACCTGCACCCTGGAGTCACACAAGTAGCTTCAAAAAATACTTATATGTGTGTGACACCTCAAAAGAGGAAGGTCTGGAATGTGGCCTGGACTTTGGAATTTTTGAAAGATGTACAACTAGTTTAAATGTGCAGACACATTTAGGAAAATCTAATGTAAACAGAAGTAATTACTCAAAGCCATATTCATTGTTACAGTTTCAAAATTGGAGAAATAAGCAGTAATGATATACTTGCCAATTGATTAAGAGCACCTATTAGGTATAGCTACTATTTTTAGATGTCAATGGGAAACACATACATGTACATACACACACAATTTCTGAATAACCTTTTGTAAACAGAGAAATAACCTCCTTAATTTATTTTACCATATGTATATAGTGGGCTACTGTATTCAATGACACAAATAAATTCAAGAATAATTTGCTGTTTCCAAAGCTACATGAGGCTCATTCTATTCTAGAATAAAAATATGTTATTTAAAAAATAGTCACATTAAGAAGTGGTGGTTTATAAGAAAGAATAATTAAAAATTATAAAACACAAACTAAAAGGATGAATGTTTTTTGTTGTTCATAGTGGCGTCAGATGTTGACATATGCCAATAGTTCATGTGCCTTCGTGGATGCTGAACAAGCACCCAAACCTGGACAGTTTTGGAAGATGGTAGTAACAAACCATAAGATTTTTAGTATATTAGTAATAAATTTCTAACTACCTCTCTGCAAATGTACTTCAAACCTTTGACTGACTTCGGTGAGCGTTAAATATGGTAGATATAGTGGTAAGTTGCTAACATGAGCTATAGGGTAATCATATAAAATATTTTATTAGAAAAAGCCTAGAAACCATCAACGTGTCAAGACATACAAGGGCTAATAATCACATATGGAAATTATAAATTAATTCAGCTTAGGCAAGAAAATCCCTCAGAGGCCTAGCTATCTGGAATATTATTAGTTCCTGGGCACATTTAAGGTGAACAACTGCAATGGTTTGCCTGGGACTGGCGTTTACTAAGATAATTTTCAGTGTTAAATCTGGAACTGTTTTGGGCAAAGAGAAACAGTCAACCTAAAACATTTCATCTTCCGACATTTTTCCAAAAACTTAATTACTATTTCAAAGTACGTATTTTTTAAATAATTTTTAAAATTGTAAAATAGTTTAGATCCACAGAGAAAATGCAAGGATAGTACAGAGAAAGAAAATATCCCTTATATCTGACATTCAGTTTTCCATATTACTAGCATTTTACCTGGGGAACCAGAAGCAGGGTAGGACAACTCTAAACTGTGATTTTATAATTGGCAAATTGTTAGAGGCTAATTGTGGAAAAGTCTGATAATCAGAAAACCCAGGAGGACCACTTGTAAGGGGAAGAGAGAGAACATCATACTTAGAAGGTCATACTTTTGTGAGTATTATCTCCTTGAGTCCTACCAGATTCTTAAAGGGATTATTGAAGAAAAATCCCCTCTTGATTTCAGTAGGAGGCAGGGAAAATAAGCCATTTTGAAATGGACCCAGTGCATTTAATTTATCTTTAAAGGCTTTTTCTGAAAATAAACTATTTTACCAGACCCTAACCTACTGGGATTTATCAGAGCGTAACCGAACTAGGGAAAGGAAAATACCTAACTCTGACCCACTCTAGCCCTCCACATGGGGGCAGAGAAAAACCCACATACGTGTCCCTCTAGCCATCGGTTTCCTTTCCTAAGGATGGGAAGGGGAACCTGAGAAGCACTAGTAAGCGACAAAAATCAGGGACAAAGTCTCACTAAAAAGCCTACACCTAATCATATGATTTTAGAACACTTTTCTTTCCCACATTCCTTGCTATAACATAACTAAAAGCCTATTTACTGTAGTTTTTTGTTTGTTCGTTTGTTTGCTTGTTTTTCCCAGTACATCATGTCAGCTGTCAACAATAATCTATAAGGCATATTCAAAGAAACAAATCACAATTTGAAGAGAGACCAGACATCACAGCTGCATTAGTCCATTCTCACATTGCTATGAAGAAATAGCTCGAGACTGGGTAATTTATAAAGTAAAGAGGTTTAATTGACTCACTGTTCTGTATGGCTGGGGAGGCCTCAGGAAGCATACAATCATGGCAGAAGGCACCTCTTCACAGGGCAGGAGAGAGAATGAGTGCCGAGTGAAGAGAGCGGCCCCCTTGAAAACCATCAGATCTCATGAGAACCCACTCACTATCATGAGAACAGCACGGGAAAACTTCCGCCATGATTCAATTCTCTCTACCTGGTCCTGCCCCTGACATGTAGGAATTATTACAATTCAAGGTGAGATTTATGTGGGGAGACAGAGCCAAATCATATCAACAGCAGACTCAGATATAGCAAGAATGTCAGAGTTATCATTGGAAATTTAAATTCAATTTAAAATTCAATTTCAATTCCAAACTTAAATTAGGAACCTTCATGTGAAAGGTTCTAATGAAGAAGTAGATAAGTAAGAACAGATGAGTAACATAAGCATAGAGATGGAAATTCTAAAAAAGAATAAAACACAAATGCCAGAAATTTAAAAAAAAACCCATAACATTAATGTGTGATTCCTTTGAAAAGCTCATTAGCAGAATTGGCATGGCTGAGAAAAGAATTAGAAAACTTGCTGATATGTCAGTAAAAACTTTCAAAGCTGAAAAGAAAAGGAAAAAAGACTAACAGAATAACAGAATATCCAGAACTGTGGGACAACTGAAAAAAGTACCATATGGAATAGAAATACCAGAAGAAAAGAGAACAGGAGAAATATTTGAAGCAATAATAACTGAGAAGTCTCCAAAATTGATGTCAGATATAAAAACACAAATTCAGGAGGCTCAGACAACACTAAGCAATATGAATGACAAGAAATCTACACTAAGGTGTATTATACCTAAACTTCAAAAAATAAAAGACAAATATAAAATATTGAAACAAACCAGATTTGGGGGCAATAACTTGCTTATAGAGGAACAAGGATAAGAAATTACATCAGAATAAGAAAAGATAAGAATTACATCAGAATTCTCCTTAGCAACCATGTAAAGAAGTAGAGAAGGTAGTGAAATATTTAAAGTGTTGAGAGAAAAAATCCACCAATCTAGAATACTGTATCCTGAAAAATTATCATTCAACAGTGAAGAAGAAATAAAGATGCTCTCAAACAAATAAAAATTGAAGAAATTTGCTGCCATTTGACTTGTATACAAGAAATGTTATAAGAAGTTATTCAGGAGAAAAGAAAATGATATAGATTAGAAACTCATCTACATAAAGAAAAAAGACCATTACAGAAGGTAAATGAAGGAATAATAAAACTCTTATTTTTAAATCTAATAGATAATAGTGTGTTTAATAATAGCAACAACATTTAATGTTTATAGTTTATGGATAAGTAAAACATATGATGGCAATGCATGATATAAAGAATAAAAGGAAGGAAATACAAAGGTACATCTTACCCAAAATACTTTGGAAATACTTAGTTATAAGGTCATTGCACTGCCCATAAAGTGGTAGAGTGTTATTTGAAAATGAATTAATTATAATTGTATCTTTCACACTCTAGATCACTTGCTAGCTAAGTAAAATTGGAAGTATAATTAATATGCTAAGAAAGGAGAGAAAATGGATATATATAAAATGCTCAATTAAAACCAAATAAAATAAAAATTAAAAAAAAAAGAAACAGCGAAAGACAAAACAAAAACCAAGAGAAAGAACAAGGGCAAAAAATAGAATAATTAACAAATATGGTAGATATTTATCCAACCATATTAATAAAGTTTTTAAACAATTAAGGCACAGTCATTGCCAAAGTAGACCAAGAAACAGTACCCAACTATATGTTGTCTACAAGAAATTCACTTTAAGTATAAAGACACATACAGTTTAAATGTATGGAGAAAGAATTATTCTGTTAACACTAATCAAAAGATAGCTGGCCCCCTTTCCCACTGCTTTTGAACACCAGCTGGAAGAAGTGGAAGTAAAAATTTAAAAAAATTACCATTTGCATTCGAATTTCTTAAAATGAAATACTTGGGTAAAATCTAACAAAATATGTACAAAATCTGTATGAGGAGAACTAAAAAGTTTAGATGAAATATATTAAAAATAAAATGGAGAGCTATGACATATTCATAAATAAAAAGACTCAACAATGCCGAAATGTTCTTATCGATAGATTCTATAGATTCAATGCAATTTGATTTACAGATTCAATACAATCCCAACCAAATGCCAACAAATTATCTTGCGGGTATCAGCTAATTGGTATTAACTGGAAAAGACCCAGAATTGTCAAGTCAATAGTGAAGAAGAACAAAATCAGACGACTAACACTACCTGACTTTAAGACATATTATAAAGCTACAGTAATCAAGATGGCATGATATGGGTGAAAGAATAGACAAACATACCAATGGAGGAGAGTAGAGAACCCAGAAATAGATCTGCATAAATATATAAATTGATCTTGGACAAAGGAGCAAAAGCAATACAATAGAGAAAATATTTTTAAACAAATTATGTGGAAACAGATTGACATCCATATGCAAAAAAATCAATCTAGACACAGTTAACTTCTAAAAAATTAACTCAAAAACGAATCATAGTCTTACATGCAAAGTGCAAAACTATAAAACTCCTAGAACATAACACACACACAAAATCTAGGTGACCCTGGTTATAGCAATGATTTTTTAGATGCAGTTCAAAATGCATGGCCCATGAAAGAAATAGTTGATAAAGTGTGTTTTATTAAAAGTAAAAACCTCTGCTCTGTGAAAGACAATATCAAGAGGATGAGAAGACAAGATACTAAATAGGAGAAAATATTTCCAAAAGACATAGCTGATAAAAAACTGCAAAATATACAAAGAACACTTAAAATTAAATAGTAATAAATTAAAGAACTTGATTAAAAATGGGTTAAAGGCCTGAACAAATACCTCACAAAAACAGATGAGATGGTAAATAAGCATATGAAATGGTGATCAACATCATACGTCATTAGGCAATTGCAAATTATTACCACAATGAGATACCAGTATAGTTACTACAATACCCAAAATTCAAAGTACTAATAACTGCAAATGTTGATGAGGATGTGAATAAAAAGAAACTATCATTTATTACTAGTGTAATACAGTACAACCACCTCAGAACACATTTTGGTAGTTTCTTACAAAACTGAAGAAACATACTCTTACCACACCATGCAGCACTCTTATTTCCTATTATTTACAAAAATGAATTGAAATCTTATGTTCATGAAAAAACATGAGATTTTTTCATGTTTTTATTTATTTATAGATTTAATATTTATTATTAAATAATAATAAATTTATTATTTAATAAATCTATAATTTTAATAAATACTAATAATAAATAATTTAGTATTTATTTATTTATAGATTTATTCATGCTATAAATATTGCACAACAATATTTATAGCAGCTTCACTCATAAGTGTTAACACTTGGAAATGACCAGGATGTCTTTCAATAGGTGACTGGATAAGTAAACTATTATTCAGATAATAAAGTATTATTCAGTGCTAAAAAGAAATAAGCTATAAAGCCATAAGAAAACATAGAGGAAACTTAAATATATATTACTAAATGAAACAAGCCAATCTGAAAATTCTCCTTACTTTATTTTTCCCAACTATAGGACATTTATTCTGGAAATGCCAAAACCATGGAGACAGTCAAATTTGCTGGGAAGAAGGAAAGAATAGACAGGGCAGAGAGATTTTTCAGGACACTGAAAATATGTACGATACAACAGTTCTGAATACATGTCATCATACATTTGTTAAAATTCATAGAATATACAAAACCAAGTGTGAACACTAAAGTAAACTACAGACTTTGGGAGATAATGATGTGCCAACGTGTATCATGGTAGTATGGGATGTCAGTTGTAGGTGAGGTTGTATGTGTTTTTAGACTAGGAGTATATGGAAACATACTATACTTTAACAAAATTTTGCTTTGAACCTAAAACTGCTCTAAAAAATAGTTTATCAGTTAAAAAAAATAAAGAAATGTGCAGGAGCTGTGTCCTATAGACAGAGCAGATTTCAGAGCAAGGAAATGTATCAGGGACAAATGGGGGCATTACATAATAATGCAACGGTAAATTCTTCAAAAAGACATAACAGGCTTTAATGGAAATCTGCCTAACAACGGGTTGAAATACACAGCACAAAATCAGACAGAAATGCACGGAGAAATAGATGAATCCACTCTTACACTTAAATACTTCACCGCTTCTCTCAATAATTGACAGATCCAGCAGGCAGAGAATCAGTTAGTAAGAACATATTTAAACTTCAGTAGAACCAACAATCAACCGACAATACCTGGCTTTGAGACAAACTATAAAGTATGAGACTATAGTCACATAACCCTGTGACCCGTGGGTATGGAAATATTCATAAATATGATGCCAGGACATGCTGGAATCTGGGAAACGTGGTGTCAAGATGGCCAAATATACTTGGACAGGAAGAGCTTCTCCCACTGAGACCAGACCATCCAGAAGACTGGCATGCTTTGAAAAACACTTTGGAAAGAAGGCATTGAGAGTGTATAGAAGGAGGACACAGAACCCACGCTGAAATGGGAGGAAGCTGGGAAGCTTCCATAGAGTTGCCAAGCACCGAGATGTTTTTATGGCCCTGAGAAGCTCCTGGGGAAGTGAAAGAGGTATGGAGTGGCCCATTCTCACCATAGATCTCCAGAATGCTAGCTGCAGGAGACCCCATGACTCCCACAGACATTTAAGCTGCAAGGGAGACCTGCCCAGAGAGTTGATAGAGACAGAACTCAAGCATGCATGGAGCCCAAAGGTTTGATGCAGGGAGGGCTGCAGTGAAGTACGGCCATGGGTACCGATCCCCTAAGGCTTGCCATACTCTTCTAGGTGGTTTGGGCCTTTGTTGGCTATCATGCCTGGACAGAGCAGGGCTATATTGACTGTGGGAAAAGTCCAGTCTTATCTGACCATGCCCATGTCTGCTGGCCTGTCCAGGGTTTCCTACCTGGCTGCACCTGATTGCAGCATGACTTCAGCTACCCAGCCTAGGCACTTGCCAGTGGTCATCATGTCCACCTAACAAGTAGAAAGCTTCTGCAGGCAGAATTCTACTGATGGGAACCTGCCCACAATCTTCCATGCTGTTTTGCTGCTGAACTCAACCACAGACTCACCTCGTTGCTTCACTGACACATGTGTGCGCTAATCCCACTGCCACACTGCCACTGGTGAACACATGCACAGGACCTGCTACCATCCTGCCAAAATGCATTTACTGGTAACTCCCATCAGAGCATTGTTGCTATTGGACCGGGAACAACTCAGCCCTACTGGTGCAGCAGGTGCTTAACCTCAAGGATCCAGAAAAAAAAAAGGCATACATCTTATCTGAGCCCACTAGAATTAAAGAATGCATCCCAGGAGTGCTGAGTTGAGCATTGACCTGCTGAAATTATCCAGAATTGGAGCCAATCAACTAAACCCAACTCACACTACAGTCAAATCCTAAGGCATCAAAGATTATAAAAGCAAAGAGCCCTATCCAAAGGACAGCCACTTAAAGAGAAAAGAAACATTAGCCCACAGAGATAAGAAAGGACCAGTACAAGAAATCTGGCAATTCAAAAACTAGAGTGTCTTCTTACATCCAAAAACTGCACTAGTTTCTCAGCAATGATTCTTAACCAGACTGAAATGGCTAAAATGATAGATATAGAATTTAGAATTTGGATAGCAGCAAAGACCACCAAGATTTAGGAGAAGGTTAAAACCCAACCTAAGGAATCTAAGGATCCAGTGAAATAATACAAAAGATGAAATAGCCATTTTAAGAAAGAAACAAACTGTTCTTCTAGAACTAAAAAACTCACTACAAGAATTTCATAATACAATCAGAAATATTAACAGCAGGACAGACCAAGATGAGGAAGCATTCTCAAAGCTCAAAGACTCTTTCTTTGAATCAACTTAGACAAAAATAAAGAAAATATGATTTTAAAATATGAACAAAACCTCCAAGATATATCGGATTATATAAAGAGACCAAACTTATGACTAATTGGAATCCCAGAAAGAGGGGGAGAGGGAACAAGCAACTAGAAAAACATATTAGAGGATATTGTCCACAAAACTTTCCCCAACCTCACTACAGAGGTTGACATTTACATTTAAGAAATTAATAGAGCTCCTGTGAGATACTACACAACACAACTATCTCCAAGACACATAGGCATCAGATTCTCCAAGGTCAATGCAAAAGAAAACATGATAAAGGGGCTAGAGAAAAGAGGAAGGTCATTTACAAGGGGAATCCCATCAGGCTAATAGCAGAGCTTTCAGCAAAAATATTCCAAGCCAAAAGGAATTAGAGATTTATATTTAGCATGCTTATAAGAAAGAAATTCCAACAAAGAATTTCATATCCAACCAAACTAATCTTCATAAGATAAAGAGAAATAAAATGCTTTTCGGAAAAACAGCAGAGTTAAAGGAATTTATTACCACAATATATGCCTTACAAGAGGTCCTTAAGGGAGTACTAAACATAGAAACAAAAGATCATTACCTGCCACCAAAAAAACACATTCAAGTACGTAGACCACTGACTCCATAAAGCAACTATACAACAAAGTTTACATAACAACCAACAAACAACATGATGCTAGGATCAAATCCTCACATATCAGTATTACCTTGAACGTAAATGGGCTAAAGGTCTCACTTAAAAGGCTCAGAGTAGCAAGTTGGATAAATAAGCAAGACTTAACTTATATACTGCTGGTTGGAATGTCAATTAGTCCAGCCACTGTGGAGAGCAGGTTGGAAATTTCTCAAATAAATTACAGCAGAATTAAAATTCAATCAATCAATCCCATAACTGACTATATACCCAAAGGAATATAAATCATTCTTCCATAAAGACGCATGTTTGTGTATGGTCACTGAAGCACTTTTCACAAGAACAAAGACAAGGAATCGACCTGGTTGCCCACCAATGGCAGAATGGATAAAGAAAATGTGGTACATATACACCATGTTATAAGCAGCTATATAAAAGGATGAAATAATGTCCTTTGCAGCCACATGAATGGAGTTAGAGGCCATTGTCCTAAGCAAATGCACACAAAAACAATAAACCAAATATCACGTTTTCACTTTTAAGTGGGAGTGCAACATTAATTATACCTGGAAGCAAAGATGGGAATAATAGACACTGGGACTTACTTGACTGGTGGAAGGTGGTAGGAGAGTGAGCATTGAAAACTATCTATCCAGTATTATGCTCACTACCTGGGTGATGGAATCATTTGTGCACTAAACCCCAGCAACGGCCAGGCACGGTGGCTCACTCCTGTAATCTCAGCACTTTGGGAGGCAGAGGCGGGCGGATCACGAGGTCAGGAGATTGAGACCATCCTGGCTAACACGGTGAAACCCCGTCTCTGCTAAAAATACAAAAAATTAGCCGGGGGTGGTGGCGGGCACCTGTAGTCCCAGCTACTCGGGAGGCTGAGACAGGAGAATGGCGTGAACCCGGGAGGCGGAGCTTGCAGTGAGCAGAGATCTTGCCACTGCACTCCAGCCTGGTCAACAGAGCGAGACTCCGTCTCAAAAAAAAAAAAAAAAAAAAACAACCCAGCAAAAGAAACCACAATTACTCACATAACAAGGTGGCACATGTACCCTCACATCTAAAATAAAATTTGGAAGAAAAACAGAAAAATAAAGACATAAAAAAATTTAAAATTTTTTTATATTGTCTATTTGGAATGACATGGTCATCAAAACCTTACTTCAATAATCACAGTTTTCTTTATTCATTTGAAAGTATTTATAATGACAACCTATAAGGCTTCTTTAATCTGACATTTGCTTCTAATTACAGGAAGTTTCTCCTATTTACTCTCCTCCATTTGAAATGAGTCACACTTTTCTTTTTCTTGCATGGCTTGTAATTTTTTATTGTTGTTGGAAACTGGACACTTTGGAGAATGTATTGTAGCAATTTTGGGTACCAGTCCCTACCACAGCAGGGCTTGTTTTTGTTATTTGCTTCTTAATTTGTTTAGTGATACTCTGGATTATTTTAGTAAAGTCTGAGGAGTCCAGTTGCTGGTTAAAACCTATGTGTAATTTTCTGAGCCCTATGAAAGGCAATCATGAATTGTTTAACTGGGAAGCCTCACTGGAGAAAGGTGCCTTCCATGTCATACCAAACAGTGCACAGCCAGCGCATTGCAGTCTCTGAAGGACGTATACTCAACTCAAACCCTTCTGGGCAGCGTTGCTTCTACACATATTTGCATGCTAGCTCAAGCCCATTTATCCAGGAGTTTCTTTATCTGGAGCCTACTGCTAAGGTTTTCAGATGTGTCAACCAAGGCCTCCATATTAGAGGCAGGGAGGAAAGACAGAAACCTTAAAGATACTTTTCTCTAATCTGACTCAGTGGTCATTAATTTCCACTCCAATCATCCCCGTTTCTGGCACAGAATCCATAAAAATGCAAGATCCTTTTATTTTCAACTTCCTTAACAGTGAAATGACTGGTCCCTGAACTAGCTTGCCATTCTATGTGAAAAAACTGAACGAAGGGGAAGTCAGCATATTTTCTACTTTTAGCCTCCTACTTATCATACAGTAAGTGATTAAAGGCTTAATTATTAGTTTCATTTTTGGTTTATTTTAATCTGCTACTTGGACACCTGGCAACTCAACAGTCTCACTCTCTCCTGGCTCAGCTGAGCTCTTGACATACCCTCTTTATCAACCCACCCACCAAAACTATAGTGTTGTGTCTGATGTTACTCCTCAGGGTCACAGCCTTGTGTAGGCCCATATTCTGTCTGGGAAAATAGTGATTTCAGCTGGGCTCTTTAACTGTTTCTTTCTTAGATCACACCCAGCTGCTTAGCTCCCCAAAATACTGGCTGATTGGTCTGTGTTATTCAATAATATTCTAGGGCATAAATTGCTCCTCAGACTAAAAAAACCTAATTCACACTACTTTGAAGAAGTTTCAAATACACTGTTTTCCTCTAAGTAATGAGTCTTAATTAATATTAATCTAAATTAATAATGTGTTGATATAATATCTCCTCAACCCATGCTTGTATTTTACCAATGATTTTCTGAAGTTACCTTGTTTATTCAAGATTCTTATATGTTCTGATCTATTTCTAGGGTTCCAGGGACACTTCCTTTTAGCTCACATCTTAAAAGCTCGCGTCCAAATTTGGGTCCTGACTGCTGATCAGCATTGATTACTATTGATTTTAATTTTCTTCTCTGGTTGTTTTGCATTATAAAAGAAGAGCTATGTATATTATGGATGGTAATCTTGAGTAAAGTCTGTTTTCCCAAATGATGTTTCTCATTATATTGTATTAAAAATCCTCATGGCGGCCATTTAGATGGAAATATAAATACATAATTTCGCTATTCTTTAATAATAGTTAAATACCCTAATTTGTCATTTGAATTTTTCATGAATGTAAGAATGTAATAAAGATTCCATATAGAGTATCTCATATATCTTACTTATGTTGTTTTGTAACTGTTTATTTCCTCTTCAAGGATTTTCCATTGTTTATCTGTTAATTATTCTGTCCTTTTTAATGTATACTTATTTTCACATTTTGTAAACAATTTGTGCTTTTCATGCCACAGTAATAATATATGTAATTATATTCTAACTTCTTAAGAATGTAGAACTTAAATCATGATAATCAGGAAACAATTTCACTAATTTTAACATGTGAAGAAGTAATACTGTAAGTTAAATGTCCTATTTTTTATTCCCAGATGCTAACAGATATTAGCAATCATGGAATAAAAGAGTTATTTTTAAAAGAATGTTCCTTTTTGAGAAGACATATTGATAGAACAAAGACTAGAAAGATCATTATGGTTAATTTAAAAACATTTAATAAAAAAATAAAAGCACCTGCTAAAATACTACTTTTCCAAATATGAACATTTTGGGACAAAAGGTGAAATAAAGTTCATAGTTTGCCAGTTTTGTCTCTGGAAGTGCTAAAGTTCAATAAAATATCTGAACTCTTTTATAATTTTCAAAGTATTTTTATACCCTTTATTTAATTTGATTATTACAAACCTGGGATGATGATCATTATCTACAAGGTACAAATTTTTAAAAAATAATAAAAAAAAAACTTTATAAAATTTCTACCTAGAGTAGAATCCAGCCTTCTCATGGTTTGTCTCATGATCCTTCTGGCATCCATGTTTAAATGTTTCCCAAATTATTTCATAATTGAGAAAATACGTCTTTAGTTTTCTTCAGGTGTGCCACTTTTGCAGATAGCACACTATAAAGTATATATCCTTATGTTTACATAAGTATATATAAAAATATATAGAAATTATAAAATATGTATCAAATAAAATAGTTTCTGCATGTTCAGTTTACAATTTATTGAGCATAGAATGGACATGCAGAAGACCTAAACATCATTATGAATGAAATATCATATTTACCTTTTCCGTGTATCTTAACAGCTTCTATTTTCTATGTATTTATTTACCTTTATGTTTATATTTATGTCTATGAGGTATATATAAGATGCATATAAATAAATTAATACTACTTGTTCTTTAAAAATGTATACACCCTTTTCTTTCCATTATGCACACATGCACACATGTACACACATACATATATATTCAATCAATAGAATGAGAGTAATATTTAGGACGATAACTTTTTACTCAGTAATACTCTATTGTCTACTGAAAGCATCAATCATGTTCAAAGATAATGAAACTATTTTCATAGATGCAATGAATTAGTAAAGCAGCCATCCACTAACACATTGCTTAAGTAATCCAAACAGACAGTGAATTAAAATTAAAAACAGAAAAAATTATGCTATTAAGAAATGTAGATAACAGAAAGTAAATAATAGGAATTCATGCAAATGTTAATACACACAGAAAACATAAGGCAAATATAAAATCTACATTTGAAATCCGTTGAAGTAGATTTTTTTATTGTGGTAAAATATATATAACATACATTTACCATTTTAGCAATTTTTAGGTGTACAGTCAGTGGTATGTAGTACATTAACATTATTGAGAAAATATCAACACCATTCATCTCTATAATTTTTTTGTTTTTACAAACAAACTTGTAACCCATTAAACAATAACTCTCCAATTAACATCACTGCAGTTTCTTCAAACACCATACTATTATGTTTCTATGAATTTGATCACTCTATGCATCTTATAAAAGAAGTATCATACACTATTTATTGTTTTGTGTGTCTGTTAATTTTACTTAGTGTAACATCTGTAAGATTCACCCATGCCGAAGCATGTATCAGAATTTCAATCTTTTTAAGTCTGAACAATATTCAATAATATTCTATTTTGTGTATACCAAAAATGTATACCACATTTTGCTTATCTATTTATCTTTAAATGGAAATTTGGGTTGTTTTCATTTTTTGGCCTTTATGAAAAATGCCACTATGTTAATGGGTGTAAAAATATCTGTTCAAATGTTTGCTTTCAATAGTTTTGGGTATAAACCTAGGAGTAAAATTGCTAAATTTTAAACTTTATGAGGAAGGGCCAGACTGAGTTCCTCAGTAGCTGCAGCATTTTTCATCCCACCAGCGGTGCCTAAAGTAAAAATTTCTCCACATCCTCACCAACATTTTGTTATTTTCTGTTTTTGGTTGATTGTTTTTTATAAAACAAATTTTACTTTATGTGCCATTTAATCTCATTGATGTTTTATGTTTACTAATGATTAGTGATGATAATTATATTTCTATGTGCTTCTTGGCAATTTGCATACTTTCTTTGGGAAAAAAATCTATTCAAGTCTTTAGCCCATTTTTAAATTGAGTTGTTTGATTTGTTGTTGTTGAGTTGTAGGGATATTTTATATTTACATGGTAGATGATTTGCAAATATTTTCTCCCATTCTTTGGTTGCTTTTGCATTGTTTTCATAGTGTTCTTTGATGCAGTGATGTTTTTAACTTGGTAAGAAACCATTTATTCATTTTTTTTTCTTTGGTTAACTGAGCATTTGCTGTCTTGTCCAAGGAAGTATTTCCAAATCTAATGTCATGAAGCAGTCCTCTTATATTTTTTTCTAAGCATTTTATAATTTTAGCTATTACATTTAGATCCTTGACCTATTTTTAGTTAATTTTTATATGTTATAGGGTAAAGGTCCAAATTTTTTCTTTTGCATGTGGATATTCAGTTTTACAAAAAGCACTGCTTGAAAACACTCTTCCCCATTGAAAGATCTCGGTACACTTGTTGGAAAGCATTTGACAATATACTTAAAAGCTTTTCTATGGAGTTTTTATTTTATTACATTGGTATATATGCCTCTTTATGCCAGCACAATGCTTTGCTTAGTGTTACATTGTAAAAAGATGTAAAATCAAGAAGTGTAAGTCCTCTGACTTTTTTCTTCATTTTCCAGGGTTTTTTTTTTTTTTTTTTTTTTTTTTTTGCTAGTTGAGGTCCCTTGAGAGTCCATATAAATTTGGGATTGAATTTTTGCATGTCTTCAAAATCATTGCTTGTATGTTGATATTGATTGCATTGAATTTGTAAATTTCTTTGGGTAGTATTGACATCTTGATAATATTAAATGTTTCAATTTCTTAACTCAGGATGTTTCTCCATTTATTGTGTCTTTCTTAATTTCCTTCAGCAATGCTTTGTAGTTTTTAGTATATAGGTCATTCACCTACACAGTTAAAGTGATCCTTAAGTATTTTATACATTTCGATGGTATTGCAAATTGAACTGTTTTCTGAATTTCCTTTTCAGAATTTTTATTGTTATTGTAAAGGAATGCAACTAATTCTTGTGCATTGATTTTGCATCCTACAATATTTGTCTATTATTTCTAAGGCTGTGGTGGAGTATTTAGGATTTGCTTTGTATAAGTACCTGTCATGTGCAAACAGAAACAATTTGACTTCATCCTTTCTAGTTTGGATGCCTTTAATTTTTTTTTCTTCCTAATTACTCGGGATATAACTTCTAATACTATGTGGAATAGTATTGGCAAAATCAGGTGGCATGTTCTGTTTCTAAATTTAAATTAAAAGATTTAGCCCATCATCATTGAGTATATGATGTTTACTTGAATTTTTTATATAGGGCTTTTATTGTTTTGAGGCACTTTTTTATATTCCCAGTTGCTTAAGTGTTTTTATCATATAAGAGCCAAGATGGCCAACCAGATGCAGCCAGGAAGAGTTTTGCCCCATTAAGAGACAAGGCCATTAAGAAGACCAGCACATTCTGAGCAGATCTTCAGAAGGAAGGCATTGAGAGTGGACAGAGAGAAGACACAGACCTTGGGCTGAAGGGGGAGGAATCTGGAAACCCTGTATAGAGTTGCTGAGTGCCAGGACTTGCTCCTGGAGATGAGTGGCTCCTGGGGAAGTGGTGAAGTAAATTGGCATAGTGTGGCCCACTCTCTCCTTGGACCTCTGGAATCCCAGGTGCAAGAGAACCCAGGCCCCCCATGAACATTTGAACTGTCAGGGACAGCTGCCTGCAAAGTTGACAGGGACAGGAATCCAGCCTGTGTGGAGTCCAGACGGCTTGGTCTGAAAATGGTTTCACTGAAGCAAAACCAGGGATTTCCATTCCCCAAGACTCACCACACTCCTCCAGGTGGCTATGACCTTTTTTGACTGTAGAACTTGGACAGAGAGGGACTTTCTTAACGGTGGGATGGGGCCACTCATATCTGTGTATCCCTCAGTCTACCAGCCACTCCTGGGGTCCCGGATTGGCCATGCCCAATTACAACACAGCCTTGGATTCCCAACATAGGTGCTTCCTGGTAGCTGCCACCATAACTCCTTGGCTGGCAGATTCCAACTAACAGACAAGAGTTTCTGCAGGTGGGTTCCCACTGGCACACACCTACTTGCAGCTGCCTGCCACTGTTTTGCAGGCACACACTCATTCACAGCCTACCCCCATGACGTTGCTGGTGCACACTCACCTGTAGCCTCCTACAACTGCTTTGCTGTGGTAAGCACACATGTGAACCTCACCACCCTGCCCTCACCAGAGCACATTCATGAGCAGATATCACTGCTCTGCCACTGCCAGCATGATAGCAAATGTAGACTCCACTACCTCACCACTGCTGGTGTGAGCATACACACACATACCCCACTGTGTTGCCACAACACCACCAGTACACACATGCAGATTCTGCCTCCCCTGACCTGATGAAGCACATTTGACAACACACCACATGGGTGTCTTGTTCCCAGCAAACAAGAAACACGTTATTCCCTCCAGCACAGGAGTTGCTTAACCCTGAGGTGCCATAGAACAAAGCCACAGGCTTGGATCTAGCCAAATAGGGTTAGAACATGCAGCCCATGACTGCTGAGCTGAACCTTGGTCCACTGAAGTTGTCCACAAATAATGTCAGTTGACTGAACCTAACACTACAATCAAACCCTCCAGAACATCAAAGAATATAAAAGCCAAAAGCACCATTCAAAGGATAACAACTTTAATGATTTAAGGAATATTAGCTCACACAGATGGAAAGAACCAGCACAAAATGTCTGGCAACTCACAAAGCCAGAGGGTCTTCTTACTTCCAAAGTTCCACACTAGTTCTGCACCAATAGTTCTCAATAATGCTGGAATGGCTGAAACAACAGACATAGAATTCAGTATCTGGATGGCAATGAAGCTCATTGAGATTCAATGGAAAGTTAAAATTCAATCCATGGAATCTAAGTAATTCAGTAAAACAATATAAGAGCTGACAGTTGAAATACATATTTTAAGAAAGAACCAACCTAATCTTCTAGAACTAAAAAAATCACCACAAGGTTTCATAATACAATCAGAAGTATTAACGGTAGAATCGAAAGACAACTTGAGAAAAAAATCTTAGAGTTTGAAGACAGGTTCTTCAAATCAACTCAGTCAGATAAAATAAAGAAAAAAAATAAAAAGAATGTACAAAATACCTTAAGAAATATGGTATTATGTAAAAACAACAAATCTATAACTCAGCCTCCCTGAAAGAGAGGGAGGAAAAGAAAGCAAATTGGAAAATATATTTGAGGATATTGTTCATTAAAATATCCCCAACCTCATTGGAGAGATCAACAATTTAAATTCCAGACATTAAGAGAACCTCTATGAGATACTATACAAGATGGTAGTCCCCAAGATACACAGTCATCAGATTCTCTAAAGTCGATGTGAAAGAAAAAATATTAAAGGAAGCTAGAGAGAAGGGGCAGGTCACCTACAAAGGGAACCACATCAGGCTAACAGTGGACTTTTCAGCAGACATCCTATAAGACAGAAGATATTGCAGGCTCATACTCAGCATCCTTAACAAAAAAACAAAATTCCAAATGACAATTGTGTATTCAGTCAAACTAAGCTTCATAAGCAAAGGAGAAGAAAACACCTCTTAGACAAGCAAATGCTAAGGGATTTGCTATTACCAGACCTGCCCTAAAAGAGCTACTTAAGGGAGTGCTAAACATGAAAATGAAAGACCATTACCAGATAACACATAAACAAACTTAAGTACATAGACCATTAACACCATAAAGAAACTATGCAATCAAGTCTACATAACAACCAGCTAACAACATCATGATATAACCAAGTTCTCATATATAAAAAATAACCTTGAACATAAATGGGCTAAATGCATATGTTAGACTGTTCTGGAATTGCTATAGAAGAAAGCCTGAGACTGGGTAGTTTATAGAGAAAGGAGGTATGATTGGCTTATGGTTCTGCAGGATGTACAACCATGGCTTCAGCATCTGTTTGGTTTATGGGGAGACCTCAGGGTGCTTTTAGTCATGGAATAAGGCAAAGTGGGAGCAGGTACATCACATGGCAAAAACAGCAGCAAGTTGTCGGGGGAGCGGAGGTGCCACAAATCTTCAAATAATCAGATCTCATGAGAACTCACTTACTATCCTGAGGAAATCACCAAGGGGATGGCACTAAACCATTTATGAGGGATATACCTTAATGTTGCAAACATCTCCTATCAGATTATACTTTCAGTATTGGAGATTATATTTCATTAAGAGATTTGGTGGGGACATACATCCAAACTATATCATTCCACCTCTGGCCCCACAAATTTCATGTCTTTATCATGTTGCAAAATACAATTATGCTTTTGCAATAATCCCAAAAGTCTTAACTCATTCCACATTTAACTCAAAAGTCCTAAGTCCAACTCCAAAGTCTCATCTGAGACAAGCTAAGTCCTTTCCACTTATGAGCCTGTAAAAGAAAAAACAGGTATTCACTTCCAGGGTACAATGGGGTATAGGCACTGGCTATACATTCCTACAGCAAAAGGGAGAAATCAGCCACAAAAAAAAAAATGGCTACAGGCCACACACAAGTCTGAAATGCGGTGGGGAAGTCATCAAACCTTAAAGTTCCATAATAATCTTATTTGTCTCTATATCCACATCCAGGGCACACTGGTGCAAGAAGTGGGTTCCCAAGGCCTTAGGAAGCTCTGCCTCTGTGGCATTGCAGGGTACAGCACCTGCAGCTTCTCTCAAAGGTTAGAGTTGAGTGCCTGTGGCCTTTCCAGGTTCAAGGTGCAAGCTGCAGGTGGATGTACCATTCCGGATTGTTGATGACGGTGGCTTTCTTCACACAGCTCCTCTAGTGAGTGCCCCATTTAAGAATTTGTGTTTGGGCTCCAACCTCACATTTCCACTTGGCACTGCCCTAGTAAAGTATCTCTATGAAAACTCTGCCCCTGTAGTAGGCTTCTGACTAGGAATGCAGGCTTTCTCATACATCCTCTAAAATCTATGTGGAAGCTGTCAAACCTCCTTTACTCTTGCACTCAGCATGCCTACAGGCTTAAGAAAACATGGAAGCCACAAAAGCGTAGAGCTTACACCCTCTGAAGCAGAAGCTTGAGTCATCCCTAGGGCTTTCTGAGATGTAGTTAGAACCAGGGAGGCCAAGATATGAGAAGCAATCTTCTGGTGTGGCACAGGGCAGTGGTTTCCTGTTCATGGCCCATGAAACCATTCTTTTCTCCTAGACCTCTCGGCCTATGATAGTAAGGATGAGCTGGAAGTAAAGGAGAGCTGGATAGTAAGGGTGAGCTGGAAGTCTTCTGAATTGCCTTGGAGGCCTTTTTTGTATTGCCTCAGCTATAAGCATATGACTCTTTTTAGTCATGCAAATATCTCTAGCAAGTGGTTGCTCTGCAACCCACTTGGATGTCTCTACTAATAATGCTTTTTTTCGTCTCTGCTACAAAGTCAGCCTACAATTTTTTCCAATGTATCTGCTCTACTTCCTTTTTAAATATAAGTTTTAACTTTAAGTACATTATTTGTTCCCAAATCTAAGTGTATGCTTTGAGAAGCAGCCATGCTACTTCTTGAGCAATTTGTTGCTAAGAAATTTGTCAATAAGCTAACCTATGTTGTTGCTCTTAAGTTCGTACTGAGACAGATCCCTAGAGCACAGAAACAAGGCATCAAAGCTCTTTGCTGAAGCATAGCAAGGGTGGCTTTTGCTCCAGTTACTAATAAGTTACTCATTTCCATCTGAGACTTCCTATGCTTGGCCTTCACTCTCCATATCACTATTATCATTTTGGCCACAACCATTTAAGCAGTCTCTAAGAACTTCCAAACTTTCCTTCAGCTTTCTGTCTTCTTCTGAGTCCTCCAAACTCTTCTAAAGTCTTCTCATTACCCACTTTCAAAGTCATTTCCACATATTCAGATATCATTATTGCAATGCCCTACTCCAAAATACCAATTTTCTGGATTAGGCCATGTATGCACTGCTATTAAGGGATACCTGAGACTTTGTAAATTATACAGAGAAGAAATTTAATTGGCTCACGTTTCTTCAGGTTGTAGAAGCAAGGCACTGACATCTGCTCAGGTTCTGGAGAAGCCTCAGGGAAATATTACTCATAGTGGAAGGTAAAGTGGGAGCAGGCATGTCATATGGCAAAAGCAGAAGCAAGAGTGAGGGAGGTGCCACATACCTTCAAACAACCATATCTCACAAGAACACAATGCCACAAGAATAGCACCATGGGTATGGTGCTGAACCATTCATGAGGGATACACTACCAAGACCGAAACACCAGCCATCAGGTTCCATCTCCAACATTGGGAATTATATTTGAACATCAGATTTGGTGAGGACATATATCCAAACTATACCATCCACTTAAAGGCACCACATGGCAAAATGAATAAGTAAGCAGGACCCAACCATATGCTGTCTTCAAAAGATCCATCTCACATGCAAGAAAAAACCCATTGGTGCAAAGTAAAGCGATAAATAAAAAATTGATCAAGCAAATGGAAAACAAAATTTAGCAGGGGAAGTTATTCTTATTTCAGACCAAACAGAATGTAAACCAACAATGATCAAAAAAGAAGAGCATTAAATAATAATAATAAGTTCAATTAAACAAGAACATTTTAATATTCTAAATATATCTGCACCCCCAACACTACAGAACTCAGATTTATTTAAAAAAAAAAATCTTAGGGACCTATGGAGTCGCTTTTATTTCCATACAAGACTAGCAGGAGATTTTAACACCCCATTATCAGTCTCTAAGGCAGGAAATTAACAAAAATATTCAGGGCCTAAACTCAAAATTTTATTAAATGGATCCAGCAGACATTTACATAACACTTCACCCAACAACAGCAAGATATACATTCTGTACATCTGCGCGTTGCGCATACTCTAAGATCAACCCCATGGTTGGCTATAAAACAATTCTCAACAAAGTCAGAAATGCCAAAATTATACCAACCACACTCTTGGACCACAGCAATATAAAAGTGGAAATCAACTTCAAAAAGATCTTTCTAGGCCATACAATTACATGGAAATTAAAGAACCTGCTCCTGAATGACTTTGGGTAAAGAATAAAATTAAGGCAGAATGCAATAAATTATTTGAAACTAATAAAAACAAAAATACAACATACCAGAATTTCTGAGACACATCTAAAGTAGTAATAAGAGGTAAATTTTAGTGCTAAATACCTACATACAAAACTTGGAAAGATCTCAAATTAGCAACTTACATTATACCTAGAGGAACTAGAGAAACAAGAGCAAACCACCCCCAAAGCCAGCAGAAGAAAATGAATAATCAAAATCAAGCTGAACTAATGCAACTGACAGGCAAATTTCATACAAAATATCAGCACAAACAAATTTAATTATTTGATGGAATTCATAACACTGATAGACCACAAGCTAGACTAATAGAGAAAAAAGAGAGAAGATCCAAAGTAGGCTGAGTAAAAATAGTAAATTAAAATATCATATAACTTGAAATTGTTTCAAAATTGTACATAGTATTTATTTACTCTTATTGTTTATGAATTCAGAACACGATGATTGTATTGAGTTATAACAAATTAATGCAAATTTTGCATTAATTCCACTAGATGCACTGATATGTTCTGATGTGAATCTTTGATACCTCTACCTCAGATCTAGGATATTATTTTAGTAATAAGCAAAATTAATATTAACATTTTTATTTTTAAAATGTTATTTCACTTGCTAAAACGATAAATTATTAATGTATTATTTACAGACATTCACATACAGGTAAAGAGTGAGGAAAGTGCATGCTATAGCATAAGACCCTTTCACACAGAAATTTAGGAAATGAACATTTCAAATGTAAAAGTTCTCCATCTTCTAATTTATTTGCTTAGTCTGAACTAGATAGCATTAGATGTCCGTGATGTGTGCTTTTCTCTCTCCTGAAAGCACAGTGTAAATGAAATTTATCATTTGATTTTATATCCATCATTGCTACTTCTTTTTTTTGCATATCTGCCCTCCAATGACTGATTATTACTACTTCTTTCAAATATTCTCATCCGACAGTGAGTATGTGTATCTAAGAGTCACAGTTTTGTACCCTATTATTTCATTCTTATAAATGCAATGCATGATTTCAAACATAGGCCGATTTGTAATGTTACTGTTAAGGGCCATAAAACAGGGAACTAACATGCAGTTTTACTACAAGGGCTTTGTCTTAACGACGTTACTAACTGTGACATTTAGACTGCTTAACCTCACCCAATGTACCCTGGGGAAATGTCAGCATAGTCCTATGCTGCTAATAAAAATGAATTATTAAAGGGTTTTGACAATATACTTATCAAAATATATTACACTTTTGTAATGAACATATGCTACAGTTCAGAATTAATATAGCAATTAAATATAAAATGGAATAATTATACTTTTATATGTTGTAGACATTTATTCAATGCAAGTGCCACATCTTCAAAATAGTGTCATTTTTAAACTATCAATAATTTTAATTTCACTGTGGTTATTTTATTATTTCTAGATGCTTGCTATAAATATAATTCAATTGGCAAAGATAGATTATTCCCTATACAAACAAGGAAAAGATTGTTCCTTTTGAGTTATGCATATTGAGTTAAATTCCTGCCAATTATTTTTCAAAAATTGACTTACAATAACTCTTTATAGTGAGTATTTTTCAACTCCATTTATTGAGAAGGTGTATTTTAAATTTTTCTCTCATGACTATAATTAATTTTATTTGACATAGAATAGCATATAAGTTTTATGACATACAGGAACAATCCTCTTCACAGACTCTGTTTTCTTCCAAGTAAAATTGCTATGAAGACTTAGGGAAAAGAAAAACTTACAACTAGATAGATAATTAAGGCTTGTTTAAAATTAATTAAAAAAATGCATTTCTTCTCATAGAAAAAGACAAATGTCAATGAAGATTATTTTTAAATAAGAAAACAAATGCAAAGCAAGCAAAACAATATGCCAAGAATGATCTAATATTCTCTGGCAATGAAACACAAACTGAATGTAGTCAGCAAGCCACTTTGTAACACGTTACTCTCTATTCCTTAAATTAGAGGCCCAAAACTTGTACTTAGCAGTAAATTGGGTACTTAATAGGTGATAATTTTCGATGCAGTCATATTAATGCTCTTGTACAAATAAAAAAAGAAAGAGGCCAGGCACTGTGGCTCACACCTGTAACCCCAGCACTTTGGGAAGCCGAGGCAGGCGGATCACCTGAGGTCTGGAGTTCGAGACCAGCCTGACCAACATGGAGAAACCCTGTCTCTACCAAAAATACAAAATTAGCTGGGTGTGGTGTCACATGCCTGCAATCTCAGCTACTCAGGAGGCTGAGGCAGGAGAATCGTTTGAACCCAGGAGGTGGAGGTTGCGGTGAGATGAGATTGTGCCATTGCATGCCAGTCTGGGCAACAAGAGCGAAACTCTGTCTCAAAAAAAAAATAAATAAATAAAAGAGATCTCTTTGCTACTTTGCTATCTCTTCCTTTGAATTAAACATTTTTATAGTTCAAATATCAGAGAAGTGTATTGTACATGTACTCTAGGAACTTGACTGAAAATTTTACACAAAAACTTGACCCACAGCATTAGATAAAAGAATGAAGTTTACCCATAACAACTGGAGAGGTGATATGGTTTGGCTTGGTGTCTCCACCCAAATCACATCTGGAATTGTAATCCCTATAATCCCCACGTGTCAAGGGTGGGACCTGGTGGGGGGGTGACTAGATCATGGGGGTGGTTCCCCAATACTGTTCTCATGATAATGATGACAGTGAGTGAGTTCTGATGAGATCTGATGGTTTTATACTCTTCCCCTTCGTTTGTTTGCTCTGTCTCTCCGGCCACCATGTAGGACATGCTTTTGCTTCTCTCTTGCCTTTCCCCATGATTGTAAGTTTCCTGAGATCTCCCCAGCCATGCAGAACTGTGAGGTGATTAAACCTCTCTCCTTTATAAATTACCCAGACTTGGATATGTCTTTGTAGCATTGTGAAAATGAACTAATACAAGAGGGAACCCACCTAAGGTTTACCCACACTTTCTGTCAAAAAATTTTAACCTGGAAAGATGTCATCTTGAGTATATGCAAATAAATAAATGAGAAAATAAGATGACAACACAACATAAAGAAAATTACTTAAGATCAGGAATGCATACTTTAAATAATTATCTATGTAGAATACAAAAGAAAATTTTAAGAAAAATATTTTCTCTTTCAAAATATTTAAGAGAAAAATAGAATTTGAAAGTAGAGCATAGGAATGTAAAAGAGAATAAGTTGAGATAAAAAGTAACAGGGCATTATAAAGAAGCTATAAAAAAAGCAAAACTGTAATAGCAGAATTAACATCTACAAATCAGAACAAAAATTGAAGTAATAGTTTAAAATGTATATAGGAACACTCTCCAAATTAAAAAAGGACCAATAAATAAAAATAATGAGAGAAAGAAAATGGAGATGAAAATAATGTAAGAAAAGATAGGTAAGATCAGAGAGAAGATAGCTAATTTACAGATATACGATATGCTTTGAAAAAGATATTGCTTCTAAAAGGATGCAAAATTAACAAAAATAAATAGTATAATAATTTCTTGAGTTGAGAAAAGTGCTTGTTTTGTAGGGCACTAATCACATCCTAGGCACAATTACTGAGAAGATATCTCTACCTAGAAATACCATTAGCAATAATAAGGGCAAACATGTTTAAATTTTAAAAATAAAAGTAGATCATAGTACAGTTTATGTAATAAATTTAGACAAATGTCAGTGAAGATTATTTTTAAATAAGAAAACAAATGCAATAAATAATAAAATAGAGCCACCATTTGACCCAACAACCCTATTACTAGGTATATACCTATAGGAAAATAAAGCAGTCTATCAAAAAGACACATGCACTCACATGTTCATTGCCATGCTAATCACAACAGCAAAGACACAAAATCAACCTGGGTGCTCATCAAATGTGAACAGGATAAAGAAAATGTGACATATACACACCATAGAATACTATGTACCTATAAAAAGAATAAAATCATTTCCTTTAAAGCCATCTGGATGCATTTGCAGGCCATAATCATAAATAGATCAATTCAGGAACAGAAAACAAAGTACTACGTCTTCTCATTTATAACTGAGGGCTAAACATCGGGCACACATGGACATAAATATGGGGAAAATAAACACTGTGGATTACTAGAAAATGGAGTTAGGTAGAAAGGTGTGAGTTGAAAAACCACCTGCTGGGTATTATGCTCACTACCTAGGTGATGGAGTCTGTTCCCCAAACCTTAGCATCATGAAATATACCCCTGTAACAAACCTGCGCATGTACCACCTATATCTAAAATAAAAGTTGAAAATTTAAACAATGACACACTCATGACATAATGGAACAGGCACTGGGAACTAAGACCAGTTAAATATAGAATGGTCTAAATAACTGTTGAAAATGTAGATATAAAACATGTAGAAATAGAAATCATTATTCTTGAAAGTTAATGCACCAGTAAAGCATAATTTTAAAACCTGCATGACACTGATTAACTCACAAAACTATATAACCGAGAGCAAAAAAGAAGTCAGGTTCTTGTCATATTATTTCATCCTGTCTTGCTTTAATATCTGTTCCTGGACTTTTCAATAATATGATTCAGTTGATTCTCATTTATTTCTTCAGGCTATTTAAATTAGATATATACATCTCTTGCAACAAAAAGTACTCTTACCATGGTATAAAAAAGTAATTTTAAACATTCATATACCATGCTTTTTCACTAAAAAGATCGCAAAACATTTAAGAAATAAGAGCTCATAATAATGAATACCAAGGGAACATGTTTTTCATGGAGTACTGCTTGGAATGTACACCTTTAGACCCACTCTAGAAAGTAATTTGGAAACATCTAGTAAAATTAAAAATACATATACATTTGACCAAGCAGTTTCATTGCAGTTCAGCTTAAAACAAAACAAAATTTGAACAAACAGTAGTCAAGGATATATGTACTAAAATGTTCATCACAATATTGCTTATAGTGATTGAAACAGCTACCACTAAGAATTTATAATAGAATAAACTATGGTAAAGTCAAACTATACGACAAAAAGCAGCTATGAATCATTATGATTAAAAACCGGATCTACTAACATAGAAGAATGCCCACAATATCCTACTAAAATAACTTAAAAAGTTGGAAAATAAAACAGGTACTGTGATCATCATTTGTATTAAGAAAAGCAAACAAAATTTTAAGAGACTATATTGCAATCAGCTGACAAAAGACTGAAATTTTCTGCAGCATAATTCCATAATCATTTTTGCCAGTGCAGAGAAAAGATGCTGAAAGTTAATTTTTCACGTGCTTTATTGCAATATTTCTCCTATATATTACAACTTCAAATGTGGAATTGACATATTCAATGGAGAGAGAACAGAAGCCACAAAAAATTTCTAAAGAAATAGATTAAAAAGATGGGTAAGATATACATATCAAATGTTACAGAAAATTGCTGGGCACGGTGGCTTGTACCTGTAAATCTCAGTGCTTTGGGATGCTGAGGCAGGATGTAGCGAGACCCCGTCTCTTAAAAAGAAATTAATGCTGGGTTTAGTGGTGTGTGTCTGTAGCCCTAGCTACTCTGGAGGCTGAGGTAGGACGATCACTTGATCCCAGGCGTTTGAGGCTGCAGTGACCTAGAAACACCCTATTGCACTCCACAAAAGTTACATAGAATTGAAAATCACATGAGATATTTTAATGTAAACATGGATATATGTAGAATTTCCGTTATTTATTCAAGACAGAATGGCAAAGTAAAATTGTTAACATTTCTCTTATCACTAGATAAACCATTAACAGTGGGCCTAAGGAATCATCTTACTTTCAAAATACATATTATTTAGGTTTTTTTTGTCATAACATGCCAATATTAGATTATAAAAAAATGAAATCAAATCTCATGAAGATTTGTAGTACAAAAGAAACCAAATTAAAATTACATTTAATACGTGATAATTTGACCTACCGAATTATTACAATACTCAATGGCACACAGTGCAAAATGGAATGAGATTTTTATTTTTTAGATAATTAAAAATTAAAGTAATATCTCTATTCTTTTAAATTATTAACAGTATTTCATAATTCAGAACAAAGCATCTTTAAGGGAAAGCAGCATAATTTTTATAGGTGTGTTTACTTTTTCTTGGGGACCTACTATAAAATGGCTTTTACTTCTTTGTTCTATAATTTGGATAATAATGGAAAGGAATAGAAAAATTATAGTTATTTCACTCTGATATGCAATATAACCTTTCTCTTCAGAAGAGCAAATTAATTATTTTTGTAAATCATATGAATTCACTTAATGGTTTTCTGATGCATAAATATATATGCACACCATTTACTTTACATTAAACCATTAAATTGAAACGTTAAATTGCAATGATGATACAGTCTAATCTAAACTAATAGAAATTTGGTTTCATATTAGCAGATGAAGCTTCCTGCAAAAATCTACTCTGTACAGCCATCATATAAAGTCGAGCAAATGGGAAATAATTGCTTAAAGGCAATCTCCATAAGTAGCAATCAACAACCCAACCTCTAGGTAGTTGAGAGTAGTAGTAAGATATTAAATACTGGCTTGCCGAATGTATATATTGAGTGCATATATTATGATAAGCAAAAGGGTTTACCAAACACATCCACACTCATTGTCATTTTATTCTCACAATAAATCTGAGAGTAAAGTATTATTTCTTCATGTTTTTGGTAAGGAAACTGAGTCTCATAGGAAATTAATGAAGCTTGTGGAGAAGGTAATTTACTAAATGATCAAGCCAGAACTGTACTTGGGGTATATGTGGCTCCATAGCCCATGATCATTCTACTGCATCTTTAAATGTAAAGTGAATACATGACCGACGTAAATTTTGTCAATTAAAAATAAAAACCATTAAAAGTTTAAGTTTTGAGTGGTTGTTGAACTTCCTATAAAAGTTTGAAAGAATAGATATTTAAGACAATGTATTCTTCACAAGTGTATCTAGGGGTAATCCTACTTAAAATGAGGTGTCCTAGCAAATTTAGAAGTATGACAGAAGTAATTATATCATGTTAATGCATTCACATAGTAGGGAGAGAATCAAACCAGTTAATTGAAACTAAACTAATTTAAACCTGTGGTAGGCAGAATTCTAAGATTGCTCTCAAAATTCCACTCACTGGTGTACACACCAGGTATAATTCCCTATACTTGAATGTGGGTGAAACCTGTGACTATGATAAGATAGTCTGTCTTTTGATTAGATTAAATTATGTGGTCAATGGTGGTTGAAGATCACTCCTGTAAGTAGGTTACAATTATATGAGGCTCTTTTCTGGCAGATCAGAGAGGAAAAAAATGTTAGAGAGATGTTGTTCTGCTAGCCAGTAAGAAAGTAAACAGCATTGTTGTAAATAGCATGGCTTATAGGGATTATGTGACAAGAAAATGCAGTGGCCTCTAAGAGCTAAAAGACCAATAGTTACCAAAAAAAAAAAAAAAAAATAGCCACAATCAACTAATGTGGGCCAACAACCACTGGGAAAGAACCCTAATCTTCAGGTAAGAACACAGCCCCAGCCAATACCTTGTTTTCAGCCTGGTGAAACCTGAGCAAAGGACCTAGCCATATGAGGCATGGATTCTTGATCCATGGAAACAGCCATGTTGTTGTAAACCATTAACTGCATGGTGATTTGCCACAAAAGCAATGGAAAACAAATACAAGTCCCTTGACTAGTCATTCAATTTTTATTTTGCATTCCAATTTGCAGATGAGCAAAGTGTGATCAGAAAGCCTAGTAAGGCCATACCTCTAACGTCTTGCTTTATATATCAATGTGATTAAATAATGTTTCAGTTATATTTCTATTGAGGTCAATGATGAAATTTATTTAGAAATATGACATCCTAAGATTTTTATGTAGAAAGCATTGGGGTTATTCAAGGGTTGAGAAAGAGAATATCAAAATGTGGATAAACATTCTAATTAAGAGTTTAAAGTGTCTTAATTAGGTAAAATAATAATAGATTTGATCAAGCAAATCAACTTAAAGCTCAGTTAACAAAGTATTTAATTGTAATTATTTTGTCAACTAAGTATAGCTCTCCAAAAATATAAGTCCTTAGGTATAACTTAGAAAATATTAGGACTAAGTAGTTTAGTATGGATAAAATAGTTTTGAAATTTATCCCATGCACATCTTCTTCCATAGAAAGGAGAAAATCTTTATAAAAGTCTAATCAGTATTAAAATGTCACATTACATTATTCACTACTCATCTAACCCAAGTCCTTTTTCAATGGGCCTAAAGCAAAGTGATTCAGTAATGTGACTTTGACAATTCAAAAACATGAGAAAGACAGTCTTTAAAACAGCACAACTACTTTAAAATAAGCAGTGAAAGATGCCAAAACTTTTGTTTTGTAGCTTAACATAGCTTCTCTCTTTAGTTTTTATTTTCATGTAAATTTAAGTTTACTGCATCTTTACTACTGTATGAAATAAAAATCATTATTATGCTTTTCTCCTACTGTCATACATTTCTATAGTATAATGAACATTAGAGAATTTTTATCACATAAATATGCATATATAGCAAATACTCAACTTGAAGTATTGTAACAAAAATGCCAATTAGATTTCTATATTATTTGTAATGGTGTGATTCTAACTTGTAAAGAAAAAATATATCTTAATGCTTTTAAATTTTGTGAATAAGAAGGACCCTGAACCAGTTAAAATCACATTTTGGAATCTCATTAATCATATCTTATAAGTACTGAAGCACATACAAGATTGCTCTGCAATATTTTCTTCATCTATCCTTGGTTCAAATCATCTGAAATAAATAAATGAAAAAGGTTGCAAAGATTGAGTACTTGACTAATAAATAATATGTTTTAATATAATTTATGATATACAGCCTATTATTAACAAAAACTATTAATAATGCTAAATACATGAAATTTGATTTTAATATAACATAGTCTTAATTGAATAAATTTACTTCTCACAATTTTATTATTAATTAACCAGTAACCATAGATGCATACTTGTCTTTACACAATATATAGAGGAAATGTTTGCTTTTTAATTACCATATATGTAGGTTACATTGAATTTCATTTATAATTTTAAAAAGTGAAACAACTTTTATTCATACCAGGTAAGAGATGATATTCAAAAGAATATAAATCTTATAAATCAAGATAAATGTTGATCATAGTTTAATTTCAGAGCATCTGCCCTGTTTACAACCTCGAGCGTTTCAAGAAAAGTAGAAAAGTTATTAAAACAACCAAACGCCGCATGTTTTCACTCATAGGTGGGAATTGAACAATGAGAACACATGGACACAGGAAGGGGAACATCACACACCGGGACCTGTTGTGGGGTAGGGGGAGGGGGGAGGGATAGCATTAGGAGATATACCTAATGTTAAATGACGAGTTAATGGGTGCAGCACACCAACATGGCACATGTATACATATATAACTAACCTGCACGTGGTGCACATGTACCCTAAAACTTAAAGTATAATAAAAAAAAGCCAAAGCTAACAAAAACCAAATGATCAGCAATCCATTCAATTTTGAAAGTTGAGTGCTTATATCCCAAGGTAATAGATTTGTTATTTTAATGGTTATGACTATAAAATACATGTATGTTCAAAAATATAAACATATATAAACAAGGAAATGTGTGTGCATTTCTCTTTCCAACTCCAGCTTCTAGCCCTGTAGAAAAGAGATAAACATTTTCAGCATTTTCTTGTATATTATTCCAGGATATATATATATATATATGTCCAAAATTTATGCAAGCATCCATGCAGAGTGGTACACATTTTTATTTGTGGTAGCTGAAAAGTAGAACAAACTGAAATGTTTATGAACAGGTGGTTTACCCATAAAATAAAATATAACTCAGTAATAAAAAAGGAATGAAGTGTTGATACATGCAACAACATAGATGAATCATATGAAGCTATACAATACCATTGAATTGCGACATGTTTTTTAAACAGCTGCATAATGCCCCCTTGTGTAAAAATAATATTATTTTGTTAGTGCTAATGTTAGTACTAGTACTATTTTGTTAGTATTTTGTTAGTTACATAGTTTCCAGTTTTGTTTTTACTATTACAGACATTTATGTGATTAACATCATTCTATACATTTGTTTGTACGTATATAAAAGAATATTTCTAAAAAAATGTAGCACTCAGATTTCTTGGTGAAAAAATGAGCTCATTTTAAGTTTTCATATATAGCATAAAATGTTCCTTAAAATAATTGAACTAGTTTACAACTAAATTGTGTGTTTATTTATCTTTGTGTATGTTTAAACTGTTTTAGGTAACAGAGCCATAAAATGAGCTAAGAATACAGCAGTAGACATAACAAGAAAGGTGACTGTCTGCTCTTAGAGTGCGTTTATTATAGTAAGGGGCACAAGCCAACAAATTATCCAATAAATCAAAAGATTTTAGGTAGAAAAGCAAATAAGACAGGGTGAGCTGATAGAGCACGGTAAGGGGACAGGGGAAGTTAGATTAGGTGACATTTGTGCTGAGACTCGAATAACAAGAAATGACCAGCCTGTTGAAGATATGGGGACAGAGAGCTCCAGGCAGAAAGAATAAAGGTAAGGCATGAGTTATATTGGTATGTTTGATAAATAAGAAAAACAAAGAAAAATAAAAATAAAAGACCACTGTAAATAAAATATAATGCATATGAAGGTGAGTGAATACCAGTGAGGTCTTAGAGGTTGGCAGCGAATAGAACCTGATAAAATAATAAGAAACTCTGTATTTTTTCTGAGCACAATGGGAAGACATTGGGGTTTGGAAAATGAGAAATCACAAGACATGTTTATTTCAGGAAAATTCCTGTGGCTAATGATTGCAGAACTAATTTTCAGAGGGCGAAAGCAGAATCAAGAATTCTATCTAAAGGATTTTTACAGTATTCCACTTAATATAATAACATATTAAAAGATAGAGGTGGAAAAGCTAAAGAGAGGACTGATTCTAACTATATTGTGGATAGAATTCCTGATATGTTGAATGTGGTGTGTGATAAAAATAATCAAAATTTGTTTATAACCAGTTAGAATTAGTCTTCTTTCATTGATCATTATTTTCAATTTTTTTCTAGCTCTCTTCAGATATTTTTAATAGACTTTAATATTTAGAGCAATTTTAGGATCACACCAAAATTGAGCTGAAGGTATTGAGATTTTCCATATACCCACTACTCCCACACATGCATAACCTCCCCCATTCTCAAAATTCCCCATCAGAGTGGTACATTTGTTATAATTGATGAACCTAAATTGACACATCATTATTACTCAGAGTCCATAGTTTACACTAGGATTCACTTTTTGTGTACGTTCTATGAGTTTTGGACAAATGCATAATGACATATGTCCACCATTATAGTATCATACAGTGTAGCTTCACTACTCTGAAAATCCTTCTGCCTCCACCTACTCATCTTTTCCATTTCCCTAATCCTGGGCAAACTGAATTTTTAATTGGCTCCAATATTCCAACATTGTTGTGCCTTTTCTAGAATGTCATCTAGCTAGAATCATATAGTATGTAACTTTTTCAAATTGGCTTATTTTACTGAGTGATATGTGGGCATTTTAACTTCCATGTCCTTCATGGCTTAATACATCATTTATTTTTAGCTCTAAATAATAGTCCATCATCTGGGTGTAGCAAACTTTATTTATCCACTTTATTTACTCTAAGCCCCAGATTTATTATTTATAAAATGGTGAAATAAGATTACTTAGATAGATGAGTCACAATATGGATAAAATAAAATAGTAGTTGTAACTTTGCACTTACATAGATGAGTCATGATAGGGATTAAATTGAATAATATTTTATGCCATTTAGCATAATGTCTGGAATATAATAAGAGCAAAACAAATATTAGCCATTAGTATTAATAGTGGTAGTATAACAGTAGTAGCAGTAATAATAGTAGTAGCAGCAGTAATGGCAGTAGTAGCAGCAGTAGCAAAGTTTTGCAGAGTATCTAGTATCTTGTTAGGTATAAATTGATTATAAAGATATATGGACAGTTCAGCATTACAAAGTTATAATTCAAAGTGGGTTACATAAATATGGATTTGAAGGTACCCTGCAAAAGTTATGATTGTTTGTAAAATTAAGGCTTATATTAGATATGAATGGAATATTTCTGAAGGTTTTACAAGTCATAAAAATTTTACAAGTTAATGAACAGGTTATCTACTAGGATTGTTGGTAACTAGGCAACTGTGTCTGGGTAATTAATTTCCATTAAGAATATAATTTTAAACATGACCTTCTGGCACATTTTCTTCTACATGTGGGGGAAATAGTTTTATAGTCTTTTTGCAATAATGTTTTAATATATTTATATCCAAGTGATGTTTTTACTAGAGTTCATATATAGAAAATTTTCCATCTTAGTCCATTTGTATTGCTGTAGCAAAGTACCCAGGGCTGGGTAATTTATAAAGAATGGTAATTTATTTCTCACAGTTCTGGAAATCCAAGGTGAATGTGCTGGCAGATTGGGTATCTGCCAAAAGCAGCAATCTTAATACTGCTTTTGCTTAGCCCATAACTTGGTATATTGAGTTTCCATTTGAGTCCCTACTTCAAAGATGGCATCATTTTGTTGTATCTTCCAGAAGGGAAAAACACTGCAATCTCACATGGAAGAAGGAACAAAAAGGATCAATCCACTCCGTCATGTCATTTCATAAACATCTGCCCTCGTGACTTAAAACATCCTAAAGGCCCCACTTCAAACTTATCACATTGGTGGTTACGTTTCAACATATGAATTTTGAAAGACACATTTATCCCGTAGTACTATATTTTATATGTAAGTGAGCAGAGTTATCTATTAGTCAAAAGGCTGTATGCTCTTATCAACTGCAGAACTAGATCCACTATAGCACATTTGTATATCATCAGTTTTACTGGCAACATAATTATCAAGGTAAATGTGTACCTTGAATGAGTTTTCAATTAAAAATAATGAAGTAATTGATAATACAAAGAATTTCATGTGTAATCTGTGGCCTAAATGTTAATCCTGCCGATGGGAGGAAGGCAGACTGGGAGACCATTTAAAAATTGCCCTCTTGATTTTCAGTGATGTTCTTTGATTACTGCATGTAATGCTTTAATGAATTATATTTTAATAGCTTTATTCATTACAATTTACATGCCACAGAATTATGAGCGTACAGTTCAATGATTTTTTTTAGTAAATCAATGAGTTATGCTGCCATCCATGACCATAAATCAGTTTTAGAACATTTCCATCACTTCAAAAAGTTGCCCTATGCTCATTTGCAGTCTATTGTCACTAATCCTTCCAGCCGCACACAACCAATCTGCATTATGTCTCTATAAAGAAGTCTTTTCTGGATATTTAATTTTAATAGAATCATATAAAATATAGTATTTTGCATTGATTTATTTATCTGGTTGGAACATCTCTCCTCTTTGACTGGTGGATATAGTCCATTAGAATGTGTTGCAGTTATTGATGTGATTAGATTTATGTCTCAAATTTTGCTATATGTGTGACTATTTTATGTTTTATTTTCTTTTAAAAAATAATTTTTTGGTTGACAAAACTTGTATAAATTTGTCGTGTGCAATAAGATGGCTTGAAATATGTATACATTGTGGAATGGCTAAATTAAGCTAATTAACCTATGCATTAGTTCACAGGTTGAACACTTTTTTGTGGTGAGAACACTTAAAATCACTCTTTTAGTGATTTTCCAAAAACACATAAATAAGTATGCTGAAGAGATATCTGCAGGCCTATGGTTACTGCAGCATTGTTCACAATTTCAAGGATATAGAACTAACCTAACTGTCCATCAACAGAAGAATACAGAAAATGAGGCATATATACACAATGGAATATTATTTAGCCTTTAAAAAGAATACAATTCTGCCATTTATGACAACATGAATGAAGCTAGAGGACATTGTATTAAGTGAAATAAACCAGGAAAAGAAAGACTAATACTATAGGACCTCACTTACACGTGCATTTTAAATAGTTAAACTCCTAGAAGTAGAGAGTAGAATGGTAGTTAACTGGGGCCAGGGGAATGAGGTGGAAAAATATTGGTCAAATAATACAAAATGTCATCATATAGGAGGAATAAATTCAAGAGATCTATTGTACAACAAGAAGACTGCACTTAATAATCTATATCTTTTTTTTTTGAGATAGTCTCACTCTGTCACCTAGGCTGGAGTGCAGTGGCAAGATCTCGGCTCACTGCAACCTCGGCCTCCCAGGTTCAAGCGATTCTCCTTTCTCAGCCTCCCATCTTAAAGGGCATTCTTTATTTCTTCAAATTATGTTTTATGTAAAATGTTTTAGTAACCATGGCACGATATAAAGATACATTTAGAAATGCTAATTGCAGAATACATTTTTTCCCAGAAGAAATGTAGCTAAAAATAAGTTCTTTTGAGCAACTTTCATCCTGGTTTGGAAGTAATTGGTGCATTTGCAATTATTATTTCATACTTCTTTTATACTGTTATCAGAGGATATTAAGGACTAGGATGCTGAGAATAAAAACAAAACAGAAAAAGCTTAATCAAAGATAATAACTAATGTATTACTTTTTCTTTACAATGATTTTTCCTGTATATAATCAACTGCTTGTCAACTAACCAAAGGCACATCTTAAACAGTTTTACAGGTTACAAACCCAACGGCTAAGGAACCCCATGGTAGTTGAGGCAGTATTGCCCAGGGTAGAGGACAAGGTTATCAATACATCCTAAAATAAGTGATTGAAACTCAAGAAGTCATTTCATATATGAACTGGAAAATGTTGAAGATGTACATTAATTTTTCATGTTGCTATATTAAGTATGCATTTTAAAATAATACCAATAGTCACCAAAAGAACACTACCAAAAACAAATGTGTAATAAGGCATAGAAAAACTGTAGATCCAGAAACATTTAAGAAAGATAAATAAATTAGAAAAATAGCACAAACAGAAAAGACAAAAATAAGTCATAATATATAATCTTAATAATAAATATAAATGAATCAATGCTCTAGTTACAAAAAAAATTTGCTACAAGGTATACAAAAATTTTGTAAAAACTTGTTTACACTAATGTTGGGTTTGGATTGTTTTTGCCTTTCTATTTCCTTGAAGTACATAATCAGGTTATTTATTTGACTTCTTTCCATTGTTTCGATGTGGGTGTTTTTTGTTTGTTTGTTTGTTTGGTTTTGTTTTTGCTGTAAACTTCACTTTTAGTACTGCTTTTACTTAACTCATAGCTTTTGGTATGTTGAGCTTCTATTTTACTTGTTTAAAAATCTTTTAAATTTTTATTTTTAATTTCTTCATTGTCCCATTGGTCATTCAGGAGTACATTAAGTTCCATGTATTTGTACAGTTTCTGGAGCTCTACTTGCTATAGATTTCATAGTTTTATTCTGTTGTGGTTAGAAAACTTACTTGATATGATTTTTATTTTTTGAATTTTTGAGACTTTTTTGTGACTGAACATAAGGTCTATCCTGGGAAATATTTCATGTGCCGATGCGAAAAAAACATGTGTATGCTATAGCTGTTGAATCAAGTGTTCTGAAGTGTTCTGTTAGGTCAATTTGCTCTAGATCATAGAGTAGTTTAACTGTGATGTTTCTTTGTTGATTTTCGGCCTAAATGATCTGTCCATTGCTAAAAGTAAGGTGTTGAAGTCTTCTGTTATTATTGCATTGCAGTATCTCTTCATTTAGATCTAACAATATTTCCTTTATATATTCTAGTGCTCCAGTGTTGAGTACATATATATTTACTATTGTTATGTTCTCTTTCTCAATTGACACCTTTATCATTATATAATGACTTTCTTTGTCTCTTGCTACAGTTTTAGACCAAGTCCATTTTATGTTACACAAGCAAAGCTACTCCTGCTCCTAAATGGTTTCTATTTGGATGGCATATCCTTTTCCATCCCTTAACTTTTATTTTATGTGTGTCTTTATAGGTGGAGTGATTTTCTTGTAGAAAGCAACTTGTCGGGTCTTGTTTTTTAATCAAAATCAGCCACATTATGTCTTTAATTCAATAATTTAGTACATTTACAGTCAATATTATTATTAAATGTTAACAATTACTACTGTCATTTAGTTACTTGTTTTTTAGTTGTTTTGTAACTCCTCTCTTTTATTACTCCTTTTCTACTAACTTTCTTTGAGGTTATGTAATTTTGTCTGGTAGAATGTTTTGATTCATTGTTTATTTTTTATTTGTAGTGTGTCTGCTACAGGTTTTCCGCTTGTGGTTACATGAAGCTTATAAAAATCCTAGAGCTATAAAAAGTTATTTATAACTTAATAGCAACTTAACTTTTATTACAATAAAATAAATGAACCAACAAAAAACCCTGTAAACATTAACTTCCTTTGCCCCCCACATTTTGAATTTTTGATGTCAAAATTTACATTTTTATATTGTCTATCTCTAAATAAATTGTTGTAGTTGTTATTTTAATAGTTTTTTTCTTTAATTTTCTTACTGAAGATATAAATGGGTTACACACTATGATGACAATATTTGGGTAACAATCACTTTAACATACTTCTACGTTTGAAGAACTTTCTTTAGCATTTCTGATGAGACATGTCTGGCATTAATAAATTCCCTCAGCTTTTGTTTGTCTGGGAAAGTTGTCATATCTCCTTCATTTCTAAAGGACAGCTTGTCTGGATTCAGTATTTTTTTATTACAATATTTTTTCTTCAGTACTATGAATATATTGCCCCTCTCCCTCCTGGCCTGTACGTTTTCTGCTAAGAAGTCTTCTTCTAGGAGTATTGAATCTCCCTTATGTGTTTTTTTCTCCTTTTCTCTCACTTCTTGCAGGATTGCATTGTCTTTGACCTTTGAGAGTTTATTATAATATATATTGGGGTATTGTTATTTGGGTTGAATATGAATGGTGACCTTTGACATTCCAGTACCTGAATATTTAGATACATGAAAACTAAGCAACTTGCCTCTTAATTGTTTCTGGGTAAAGAATGAAATTAAGTCATAGATCAAAAAATTATTTGAAACAAATAAAAATAGACACACAATAAACTAAAATCTCTGAGATATGGCCAAAACAAAGTTAAGAGGAACATCTATAGTGCTAAATGCCTACATGAAGAAGTTAGAACATTCTCAAATTAACAAACCAATGTCACACATAAAGGAACTAGAAAATCAAAGATGAACAAAATTCAAAACTATCATAAAAAAGAGTTAAGATCAGAGGAGAACTACATGAAATTCAGACCAAAGAAGCCATACAAATTATAAATAAAACAAAAACTAGTTTTTCGAAAGAATAAACAACATTGATAGACCACCAGGTAGATTGTAAAAGAAATAAAAGAGAATCCAGATATGTAAAATGAGAAATGACAAAGATGGCATTATACATCATCTTACAGAAATAGAACAGATTTTCAGACACTTTCATGAACACTTCTATATGTGCAAAATAGAAAATCCAAATGAAATGGGTAAATTCCTAGAAACACATAACCTGCAATATTGAACCAGGAAAAAATTGAAACACTAAACAGACCAATAATGAGTTATGAAATAGAATTTGTAATAAGAAAACTACCCACCAACAAAAGCCCTGGGCCAGACGGATTAATAATCAATCTCTGCCAGATGTACAAAGAAGAGGTGGTAGCAATCATACAGAAATTATTCCAAAAGATTGACAAGGAAGCATTTCTCCCTGACTAATTGATGAAAACAGTATCATCCTGATAACAAAATCTGTCAATGACACAATAAAGGAATTAAAACCAAAGACAATAATCTTCTCGTTTTATTTCTTTGCTGTTGTCTGAACAAAGAAATGAAAGTCCCCTAAAAAAATTAACAAACAGCATCCAGCAGCAGATCAAAAAGATAATTCATAAAAAATGAGGGGGCTTTATTTCTGAAATACAAAGATGACTCAATATACACAAATCAATGAACATGATTTACCAAATAAACTGAATTAATAAAAAAACTGTATAAAACCTAAATAGATGCAGAAAAAGCATTTGATAAAATCAAATATCTCTTCATGACAAAATCCCTAAAAAAAACTACGCGTTGAAGTAGTACAACTCAAAATATTAAGAGCCATTTATGAGAAAATCCAATGTCAACATCATCCTGAGGAGGCAAAAGTTGAAAGCATTGCCCCTAAAAACTGGAACAAGACTAGGATATTCACTCTCACCACTCCTATTCAACATAGTACTGGAAGTCCTAGTCAGAACAATAAGGCAAGATAAAGAAATAAAATGCATCTAAATCGGAAAAAAGAAAGGTAAATTATCTCTGTTCACTAAGGTTATGATTCTATACCTAGAAAATCCTGAAGATTCCTCCAAAAGACTCGTAGATTAGAAACATGAATTTAGTAAAGTTTCAGGATACAAAATCAATGTACACAAGTCAGTAGCATTTCTATACACTAATAACATTCAAGGTGAGAACCATATCAAGAATGCAGTTTCATTTACAAAAACGACAAAAAAACCTACCAATATATCTAACCAAGTAGTTGATAGATTTCTTTTTCTTTCTTTCTTTTTTTTTTTTTTTTTTTGAGGTGGAGTCTCGCTCTGTTGCCCAGGCTGGGGTGCTGTGGCGCAATCTTGGCTCACTGCAAGCTCCACCTCTCGGGTTCACGCCATTCTCCTGCCTCAGCCTCCTGAGTAGCTGGGACTACAGGTGCCTGCCCCCACACCCAGCTAATTTTTTTGTTTTGTATTTTTAGTAGAGACAGGGTTTCACCATGTTAGCCAGGATGGTCTCGATCTCCTGACCTTGTGATCCACCTGCCTCGGCCTCCCAAAGTGCTGGGATTACAGGCGTGAGCCACCCCACCTGGCCAGTAGTTGATAGATTTCTATAAAGACAACTACAAAAGAAAGACGAAAGAAATTACAGATGACACAAACAGAAGGAAGACAATTCTATGCTCATAAATTGAAAGAATCAATATCATCAAAATCCATATACTACCCAAAGACATATACAAATTCAACACTATTCCTATGAAATTACCAACATAATGTTTACAGAATTAAAAAATAATTATATAATTTAAAAGATACCAAATAAAAGAGCCTAAATAGCCAAAGCAATCTTACACAAAAGAATAAAGCAAGACACATCATGTAATCTGACTTCAAACTTTATTAAAATGTGTATTAGTTTGTTCTCATGCTGCTGTAAAGAATTGCCTGAGACTGGGTAGTTTATAAAGAAAAGAGGTTTAGTTGACTCACAGTTCTGCAGGGCTGGGGAGGCCTTAGGAAACTTACCATCATGGAGTAAAGGGAAGCAAACATGCCATTCTTCACATGGTGGCAGGAAGGTGAATTGCCAAGCAAAAGACGAAAGCCACTTATAAAACCATCAGCTCTTGTGAGAACTCACTCATTATCACGAGAATAGCATGGAGGTAACCACCCCATGATTCAATTACCTCCCACCAGGTCCCTCCCATGACACACAGCCATGTGGGGATTATGGGAACTACAATTCAAGATGAGATTTCCGTGGGGACACAGCCAAATCATATCATAAGCCTACAGAGAACCAAAAGCAAAAACAAAAACAAAATGAAGCATGGCACTATTACAAAATGGACATATAGACCAATGGAACAGAATAGAGAACCCAGAAACAAAGCCACATACCTACACCCAACTGATCTTCAAAAAGAATGACAAAAATAAACACTGGGGATAGGAGACCTCGTTCAATAAGTGGTACTGGGAAATTGGCTAGCTTCATGCAGGAAAATTAAACTGGATCCATATTTTGCTATAAAAGCAAAAATTGACAAATGGTATCTAATTAAACTAAAGAGTTTCTGCATAGCAAAATAAACTATCTACACAGTCAACACATAGCCTACAGAATGGTAGAAAATATTTGCAAACTATGCATTTAACAAAGGACTAATGTCCTAAATTCACAAGAATCTTAAACATAACAAGAAACAAAACAGGTAGCCCCATCAAAAAGTGAGCAAAGGATATGAGCAGATGCTTCTCAAAAAAAAAAAACATACAAGTGGCTAATAAGTATATTGAAAAAAAAGTTCAACATCACTAATAATCAAAGAAATGGAAATTGAACTCACAATGAGATACCAACTCATGCCAGTCAGAATAATGATTATTAAAAAGTCAAAAAATAATAGATATTGTCAAGGGTGCAGGGAACACATAATGTGTCTGGAATTGATTCCTTCTGGTTGGTTCTTGGTCTCGCTGACAAGAACGAAGCTGCGGACCCTCGCAGTGAGTGTTACAGTTCTTAAAGATGGTGTGTCCAGAGTGTGTTCCTTCAGATGTTCAGATGTGTCCAGAGTTTCTTCCTTCTGGTGGGTTCATGGTCTTGCTGACTTTAGGAGTGAAGCCGCAGACCTTCGCAGTGAGCGTTACAGCTCATAAAGGTAGTGTGGACCCACAGAGTGAGCAGCACCAAGATTTATTGTGAAGACTGAAAGAACAAAGCTTCCACAGCAGGAAGTTGCCACTGCTGGCTTAGGTGGCCAGCTTTTATTCCCTTATTTGGCCCCACCCATATCCTGCCGATTGGCCCATATTACAGAGTGTTGATTGGCCCGTTTTTACAGAGTGCTGATTGGTGTGTTTACAAACCTTTAGCTAGACACAGAGCACTGATTGGTGTGTTTTTACAGAGTGCTGATTGGTGCATTTACAAACCTTTAGCTAGACACAGAGCGCTGATTGGTGCATTTTTACAGAGTGCTGATTGGTGCATTTACAAACCTTTAGCTAGACACAGAGCGCTGATTGGTGCATTTTTACGGAGTGCTGATTGGTGCGTTTACAAACCTTTAGCTAGACACAGATCACTGATTGGTGTGCTGATTGGTGCATTTACAATCCTTTAGCTAGACAGAAAAGTTCTCCAAGTCCCCACCCTGCCCAGAAGCCCAGCCGGCTTCACCTCTCAATAATAATACTTGTGGGAAGGTAGATTAGTTCTGCCCCTATGAAAAGCAGTTTGGAGATTCCTCAATAAACGAAAAATAGAACCACAATTCCACCCAGCAGTCCCATCACTAGGTTTAGATCCAAGAAAATAGATATTCTATCAAAAATACACCTGCACTTGTATGTTTATTGTAGCACTGCTCACAATAACAAAGCCATGGAATCAACCTAGGTTCCATCAACATTCAATCAAATTAACAAAATGTGGTACATGTACACCATGGAATACTATGCAGCCAAAAAATAATAATGAAAGCATGTTCTTTGCAGCAACTTAGATGCAGCTGGAGCTCATTATCTTAAGGGAACTAAAACAGAAACAGAAAATTAAATACCACGTGTTCTTACTTAGATGTGGGAGCTAAACAATGGGTGCACATGGACATAAAGATGAAAACAATAGACACTGGGGACTTCAAAGATGGGAGACAGGGAGGGGATGCCCGGGTTGAAAAAGTCCCTATTGGCTACTATGTTCACTATTTGACAGGTTGAAGAGAAGCCCAAACCTCAGCATTGCAGAATATATCAATGTAACAAACTTGTACATGTACCCCTGAATTTGAAATAAAAAAAAAATCAATACAATTCATATGAAAATGCCAACGGCATTCTTCACATAAAAAAAAATAGTAAAACTTGTATGTGACCACAGAGACCAAAAAGCAAAAGTGGTTAGAGACAAAAGCTAGAGGAATCACACAACCTGATTTCATATTATACAATAAAGTTATGTTAACTGAAACAGCATGGTGCTAGCATAAGAAAAAGCATGAGCAATGGAATAGAATTGGACGATGTAATAGAACAGGTAACACAGATACAGATCCATGCCTTTACAACTATCTAATTTTCAATAGAGGTGCCAAAACTGTGCGTTGTGGAAAAGATAGTCTCTTTAATAAACAGTGCTGGGAAGATTGGATATTCATATACATAATAATAAAACTGGATTTCTCATCTGTTACCATATACAAACATCAAGTCAAAATGGATTAACAACTTAAATGTTTAGCCAGGCAGGGTGGCCTGCACCTGTAGTCCCAGCTACTTGAGAGGTTGAGGCAGAACTGCTTGAACCCAGGAGGGGGAGGTTGCAGTGAGCCAAGATTGCGCCACTGCACTCCAGCCTGGGCCACAGAGCAAGGCTCCATCTCAAAACAAACAAACAAACAAACAAAAACTTAAATGGAACACCTGGAACTAAGAAACTGCTTAAGGAAAATTTTGGGAAAACACTTCAGGACATCGAGCTGGGCAAAAGGTTTTGGGTGAGGCCTACAAGGACAGACAACAAAATCCAAAATCAGAAATAGACAAATGAGATTGCATCAAGCTTGAAAGTTTCTGCAAAGTAAAGGAAGCTGTCAACAAAGTGAGGGAAAACCTTCAGAATGGAAGAAAATATTATAAATGATCTATTCCACAAGGGATTAATAACTATAATATAAAAATAACTCACACAACTCAGTAACATAAAAGAAATAATCCAATTCACAAAATGTGCAAAAAGCCTAAATAGACATTTCTCAGAAGAAGACACACAAATACCTAACAGGTTTATTAAAAAAAGCTCTACATCACTAATCATCAAGGAAATGCAAATCAAAAACCACAATGAGATATTGTCTAACAGAATTTAGAATGGTTATTATTAGAAAGACAAAAATATAACAAGTGCTGATGAGGATGCCTAAATAGGGAAACATTCATACACTGTTAGTGGGAAGGTAAAGTGTAAGAGTAAAGCCAGAAGATGGCCAAATAGGAATAGCTCGGGTCTGCAGCTCCCAGTGAGATCAAAGCAGAAGGCATGTGATTTCTGCATTTCCAACTGAGGTACCTGGCTCATCTCATTGGGACTGGTTAGACAGTGGGTGCAGCTCACGGAGGGTGAGCCAAAGCAGGGTGGGGCATCACCTCACTTGGGAAGCACAAGGGGTCAGGGAACTCCTTCCCCTAGCCAAGGGAAGCTGTGAGAGACTGTGCCATGAAAAATGGTGCACTCTGGCCCAGATAATATGTTTTTCCCATGGTCTTCACAACCCGCAGACCAGGACATTCCCTCAGGTGCCTACACCACCAGGGCCCTGGGTTTCCAGCGCAAAACTGGGAGGCCTTTTGGGTAAACACTGAGCTAGCTGCAGGAGTTTTTTTGTTTGTTTGTTTGTTTTCATACCCCAGTGGCGCCTGGAATGCCAGTGAGACAGAATAGTTAAATCCCCTAGACAGGGGGCTGAAGCCAGGGAGTCAAGTAGTCTAGCTCAGTGGATCTCACCCCAACAGAACCCAGCAAACTAAGATCCACTGGCTTGAAATTCTCACTGCCAGCACAGCAGTCTGAAGTCGACCTGGGATGCCCAAGCTTTGTTGGGGGAGGAGTGTTCACCATTACTGAGGCCTGAGTAGGCAGTTTTTCCTTCACACTGTAAACAAAGTCTCTGGGAAGCTCAGACTGGGCCGAGCCCACCACAACTCAGCAAAGCCACTGTAGCCAGGCTGCCTCTCTAGATTCCTCCTCTCTGGGCAGGGCATCAGTGAAAGAAAGGCAGCAGCTCCAGTCAGGGGCTTATAGATAAAACTCCCATCTCCCTGGGACAGAGCACCTAGGGGAAGGGGCAGCTGTGGGTGCAGCTTGAGCAGATTTAAATGTTCCTGCCTGCTGGCTCTGAAGAGAGCAGCAGGTCTCCCAGCACAGTGCTTGAGCTCTGCTAAGGGACAGACTGCCTCCTCAAGTGGGTCCCTGACCCCTGTGCCTCCTGACTGGGAGACACCTCCCAGCAGGGGTCAACAGACACCTCATACAGGAGAGCTCCTGGTGGCATCTGGCAGGTGCTCCTCTGGGACGAAGCTTCCAGAGCAAGAAACAGGCAGCAATCTTTGCTGTTCTGCAGCCTCAGCTGGTGATACCCAGGCATACAGGGTCTGGAGTGGACCTCCAGCAAACTGCAGCAGACCTGCAGCAGACCTGCAGCAGAGGGGCCTGACAGTTAGGAGGAAAACTAACAAACAGAAAGGAATACCATCAACATCAACCAAAAAAAGTTCACACAAAAACCACATCTGAAGGTCACCAACGTCAAAGGCCAAAGGTAGATAAATCCATGAAGATGAGGAAAAACCAGCGCAAAAAGGCTGAAAATCCTAAAAAGCAGAATGCCTCTTCTCCTCCAAAGGATCACAACTCTTCACCAGCAAGGGAACAAAGCTGGACGGAGAATGAGTTTGACAAATTGACAGTAGTAGGCTTCAGAAGGTGGGTAATAACAAACTCCTCCAAGCTAAAGGAACATATTCTAGCCCAATGCAATGAAGCTAAGAACCTTGAAAGAAGGTTGGAGGAATTGCTAACTAGAATAACCAGTTTAGAGAAGAACATAAATGACCTGATGGAGCTGAAAAACACAGTACAAGAACTTTGTGAAGCATACTCAAGTATCAATAGCCGAATCGACCAAGCAGAAGAAAGGATATCAGAGATTGAAGATCAACTTGATGAAATAAAGTGTGAAGACAAGATTAGAGACAAAAAGAATGAAAAGGAATGAACAAAGCCTCCAAGAAATACGGGACTATGTGAAAAGACCAAACCTATGTTTGATTGGTGCACCTGAAAGTGACGGGGAGAATGGAACTAAGTTGGGAAACACTTTTCAGGATATTATCTAGGAGAACTTCCCCAACCTAGCAAGACAGGGCAACATGTAAATCAGGAAATACAGAGAACACCACAAACATATTCCTTGAGAAGAGCAACCCCAAGACACACAATCGTCAGCTTCACCAAGGTTGAAATGAAGAAAAAATGTTAAGAGCAACCAGAAAGAAAGGTCGGGTTACCCACAAAGGGAAGCCCACCAGACTAACAGTGGATCTCTCTGCGGAAACCCTACAAGCCAGAAGAGAGTGGGGGCCAATATTCAACATTCTTAAAGAAAAGAATTTTTAACCCAGGATTTCATATTCAGCCAAATTAAGCTTCATAAGTGAAGGAGATATAAAATCCTTTACAGTCAAGCAAATGTTGAGAGAAAACTGGCACAAGACAAGGATGCCCTCTCTCACCACTCCTATTCAACAAATATTGGAAGTTCTGGCCAGGCTAATCAGGCAAGAGAAAGAAATAAAGGGTATTCAAATAGGAAGAGAGGAAGTCAAATTGTCTCTGTTTGCAGATGACATGATTGTATATTTAGAAAACCCCGTCATCTCAGCCCCAAATCTCCTTAAGCTGATAAGCAACTTCAGCAAAGTCTCAGGATACAAAATCAATGTGCAAAAATCACAAGCATTCCTACACATCAGTAATAGACAAACAGAGAGCCAAATCATGAGTGAACTCCCATTCACAATTGCTACAAAGAGAATAAAATACCTACGAATAAAATTTACAAGAGATGCGAAGGACCTCTTCAAGGAGAACTACAAATCACTGCTCAAGGAAATAAAAGAGGACACAAACAAATGGAAAAACATTCCATGCTCATGGATAGGAAGAGTCAATATCATGAAAATGGCCATACTGCCCAAAGTAATTTATAGATTGAATGCTATCCCCATCAAGCTACCAGTGACTTTCTTCACAGAATTAGAAAAAACTACTTTAAATTTCATATGGAATCAATAATGGGCCCGCATAACCAAGACAATCCTAAGCAGGGACATGGATGAAGCTGCAAACCATGATTCTCAGCAAACTAACACAAGAACAGAAAACCAAACACCACATGTTCTCACTTATAATTGGGAGTTGACCAATGAGAACAACTGGACACAGGGAGGGGAACATCACACACTGGAGCCTGTTGGCAGGTTGGGGGCTAGGGGAGGGATAGCATTAGGAGAAATACCTAATGTAGATGATGGGTTGATGAGTGCTGCAAACCACCATGGCATGTGTATACCTATGTAACAAACATGCAGGTTCTGCACAAGTATCCCAGAACTTAAAGTATAATTTAAAAAAGAACTACCAGCAGTAGGATAATCTAATAATAAATTATCTAATAATCCTACTGCTGGGTATATATTCAAAAGAAGGAAATGAGTACATTCAAGACATATTTGCACTTTCGTATTTATTCCAGCATTATTCACAATAGCCAAGATATGAAAGTAACCTAAGAATTAGTCAATGGATAAATGGATTAAAAAAAATGTGGTATTGTAGTTTTCAAAATAGCTAGAAGAGAAGATTTTCAATGCTCCCAACACAAAGAAAGATAAATATTTGAGGTGATAAGTATCCCAACTAGCCTGATTTGAACATTACACATTGTATAAAGGTATCAAAATATCACATGCTTTCCAAAAATATTTAAAAGTTTTACATATCAATAAAAAAGTATTTACAAAGGATACCTGTGCTGGAGGTATCATGTGTGTCTTCCAGAATTATGAGTCTGCGTGTGTTCCCTGGCTTTCGTTAAGTGGCCATGCCATTACCTTAGCTCTGAAAAGTCTTCAAATCAACATCAATTCACTCACCAGAATTGTTATAGATATTACAATTTGCCATAGACATGTGCCTTGCATGCTGAGTTGACATCTGTATAAATTATTAGCATATTATCTGTATCTAAATTAATGCTTTAGGACAGGGGAAAATGTTAATATAGAAACATGAGAAGGCCACCTGTTTCCTAATAAAGATCCATATCATTAATAGGATCTGTTTTATCTGGTGAAACTCAGGGCCATTATGAATACTGCAGATTGGCCTTATCTTGCCACCTGAAACACTTCTAATAATAGTTTTCAAGTAAGGACATATTGGACAAAGTGCAAATAGGAATTAACATAGCAGGGTTGATCTTTTGAAGAGTTTACTTATATGGCTATACTTTGGCTGTAATCTGTGAACCTGAATGCCAGAAGGTTCCTTACACTGATAAGTTTGTTTTGCCTTCCTCGAACACTAAAAACTTATTTTACTTTTTGGAGTCTGAAGTTTTGATAACTGTGGCTGGTATAGAATGCCTTCATGACTGGCTTCTTTTCAAATTTGGGGACATTGAGTTTCTGAAGGACTTCCCAGGGCAGAAACATTGCACATATATTACTGCATTTTTGTTGCTGGAGAAAACTCACACTTATGTGTGGCCCCTCAGAAGAGGAAAAAAAAAAATACATGTAGAGTCTGGATACATTTAGACTCCAAATTTCTCTCTTGCTGACCATTGTAATAAATTGTTTCATGAATACAACTGCCTCTGATTCCTCTGAGTCATTCTAGTGAAACAGAAAGTGTGGGGATGGCTATGAGACCCCTGACATATAAACAAATGTAAGAATAATCACAGATTTCCCACTGGAAACTATAAGAGCAAAGCAAAAAAATTTTATCAAAGGCCTTTTCTGCATCTATTGAGATAACCATGTGGTTTTTGTCTTTGGTTCTTTTTATGTGATGAATTATGTTTATTGATTCACGTATGTTGAACCAGCTTTGCATCCCAGGAATGAAGGTGATTTGATCATGGTGGATAAGTTTTTTGATGTGCTGCTGGATTCAGTTTGCCAGTATTTTATTGAGGATTTTTGCATCGATGTTCATCAGGGATATTGCCTTGAAGTTTTGTTTTTGTTGTTGTTGTCTCTTTTTGGTGTGAGTATCAGGATGATGCTGGCTTCATAAAATGAGTTAAGGAGGAGTCCCTCCTTTTCAATTGTTTGAAATAGTTTCAGAAGGGATGGCTCCAGTTCCTCTTTGTATTTCTGGTAGGATTCAGCTGTGAATCTGTCTGGTCCTGGGCCCTTTTTTTGTTGGTAGGCTATTAATTACTGCCTCAATTTCAGAACTTGTTATTGATCTGTTCAGGGATCAGACTTCTTCCTGGTTTAGTCTTGGGAGGGTGTACGCATCAAGCAATTTATCCATTTCTTCTAGATTTTCTAGTTTATTTGTGTAGAGGTGTTTATAGTGTTCTCTGATGGTAGTTTGTATTTCTGTGGGGTCAGTGGTGATATCCCCTTTATCATTTTTTATTGTGTCTATTTGAGTCTTCTCTTTCTTCTTCATTAGTTTAGCCAGTAGTCTATTTTGTTAATTTTTTCAGAAACAACAGCTCCTGGATTTGTTGATTTTTTGGAGGGGTTTTGTGTCTCTATCTCCTTCAATTCTTCTCTGATCTTAGTTATTTCTTGTCTTCTACTAGCTTTTGGATTAGGTTGTCTCTCTAGTTTTTTTAATTGTGATGTTAGGGTGTCAATTTGAGATCTTTCTAGATTTCTGATGTCAGCATTTAGTGCTATAAATTTCCATCTTAACACTGCTTTAGCTGTGTCCCAGAGATTCTGATATGTTCTCTCTTTGTTCTCACTGGTTTCAGAGAACATCTTCATTTCTCCCTTAATTTCATTATTTACCCAGGAGCCATTCAGGAGCAGGTCCTACAATTTCCATGAAATTGTGTGGTTTTAGGTGAGTTTCTTAATCCTGAGTTTTAATTTGATTGCACTGTGGTCTGAGAGACTGTTTTTTATGATTTCCATTGTTTTGCACTTGCTGAGGAGTGTTTTACTTAAAATTATGTGGTCGATTTTAGAATAAGTGCCATGTGGCACTGAGAAAAATGTATATACTGTTGATTTGGGGTAGAGAGTTCTGTAGACATCTACTAGGTCCACTTGATCCCGAACTGAGTTCAAGTCCTAAATATTCTTGTTAATTTCTGTCTTGTTGATCTGTCTAAAAATGACAGTGGGGTGTTAAAGTCTCTCACTATTATTGTGTGGGAATCTAAGTCTCTTTGTAGGACTCTAAGAACTTGTTTTATGAATCTGGGTGCTGCCGTATTGGGCGCATATATATTTAGAATAGTTAGCTCTTCTTGTTGAGTGGTTCTCTTTACCATTATATAATGCCTTTTTTTTTGTCTTTTTTTATCTTTGTTGGTTTAAAGTCTTTATTCAGAGACTAGAATTGCAACCCCTGCTTTTATTTTAGGATTCCATTTGCTTGGTAAATTTTCCTCCATCTCTTTATTTTGAGCCTGTGTGTGTCTTTGCACATAAGATGGGTCTCCTGAATACAGCACACCAATGGGTCTTGACTCCTTATCCAATTTGCCAGTCTATGTCTTCTAATTGGGGTATTTAGCCCATTTAGATTTAAGGTTGGTATTGTTATGTGTAAATTTTCATCCTGTCATCATGATGCTATTTTGGTTATTTTGCACACTAGTTGATGCAGTTTCTTCATAGTGTCATTGGTTTTTATGTTTTGGTGTGTTTTTGCAGTGGCTGGTACTGGTTTTTCCTTTCCATATTTAGTGCTTCTTTCAGGAGCACTTAAAGAGAAGGCCTGATTGTAATGAAATCCCTCAGCATTTGCTTGTCTGTAAAGGATTTTATTTCTCATTCACTATGAAGTTTAGTTTGGCTGGATATGAAATTTTGGGTTTAAAATTCTTTAAGAATTTTGAATATTGGCCCCCACTCCCTTCTGGCTTGTAGAGTTTCTTCTGAGAGGTCTGCTGTTAGTCTGATGGGCTTCCTTTTGTAGGTGACCTGGCCTTCCTCTCTGGCTACCCTTCACAATTTTTCCTTCATTTCAACCTTGGAGAATCTGATGACTATGTGTCTTCAGATTGACCTCCTCATGGAGTATCTTCATGGTGTTCTCTGTATTTCCTGAATTTGCATGTTGGCCTGTCTTGCTAGGTTGGGGAAGTTCTCCTGAATAATATCCTGAAGTGTGTTTTTTGAGCTTGTTTCCATTGTCCCCAGCTCCTTCTGGTACTCCAATCAATCACAGGTTCAGTCTTTTTATGAAGTTCCATATTTCTTGGAGGCTTTGTTTATTCCTTGTCATTCTCTTTTCTCTATTCTTGTCTGCATGTCTTATTTCAATAAGGTGGTCTTCAAACTCTGATATCCTTTCTTCCACTTGGTTGATTCAGCTGTTGATTTTTTTTTTTTTTTTTTTGAGACGGAGTCTCGCTCTGTTGCCCAGGCTGGAGTGCAGTGGCGCGATCTTGGCTCACTGCAAGCTCCGCCTCCCGGGTTCATGCCATTGTCCTGCCTCAGCCTCCTGTGTAGCTGGGACTATAGACACCTGCCACCATACCTGGCTATTTTTTTTTTTGTATTTTTAGTAGAGACGGGGTTTCACCGTGTTAGCCAGGATGGTCTCGATCTCCTGACCTCGTGATCCGCCGGCCTCGGCCTCCCAAAGTGCTGTGATTACAGGTGTGAGCCACAGCGCCTGGCCAGCTGTTGATATTTTTGTATGCTTCACAAAGTTCTTGTGCTGTGCTTTTCAGCTCTATCAGGTCATTTACGTTCCTCTATAAACTGATTATTCTAGTTAGCAATTCCTCCAACTTTTTATCACGATTCTTAGCTTCTTTGCATTGGGTTAGAACATGCTCCTTTAGCTCAGCGTAGGTTTTTCTCACCCATCTTCTGAAGCCTATTTCTGTCAATTCACCCATCTGATCCTCTGTCCAGTTCTGTGCACTTGATGGAGAGACGTTGTGATCATTTGGAGGAGAAGAGGCATTCTGGCCTTTTCGATTTTCAGCACTTTCTCATTGATTCCTTCTCATCTTCATGAGTTTGTCTAGTTATGGTCTTTGAGGCTGCTGACTCTTGGATGGGGTTTTTGTGGGGGCCTTTTTTGTCGTTGTTGCTTTCTGCTTGTTTGTTTTTCTTTCAATAGTCAGGTCTCTCTTCAGTAGGGCTTCTGCAGTTTTCTGGGGGTTCACTTCAGGCCCTATTCATCTGATTCTCTCATGTGCCTGGAGATGTCACTCAAGGAGGCTGGAAAACAGCAAAGATGGGTGCCTGCTACCTCTTCTGGGACCTCTGACCTTGAGGGGCACCAACCTGAAGCCAGTAGGATCGCTCCTGTATAGGGTGTCTGACAACACCTGTTGGAAAGTCTCACCCAGTAGGATGGCATTGGGAACAGAACCCATTTAACAAAGCACTTGGTCCCTTGGCAGAAAGGGTGTGCCTTGTTGGGGGGAAACTCATTTGTCTTGGCTGCCCAGATTCCACAGAATTACCAGTCTGGTGCTCCACAGAGACTGTGGCCACCTCTCTCACTAGGGGCTCAGGCCCAGGGGTATTCAAATATGAAGGCAAGAAGTCATGTTGTCTCTGTTTGCAGATGACATGATTTTATATTTAGAAAACCCATTATCTCAGCCCAAAAATTTCTGGAACTGACAAGCAACTTCAGCAAAATCTAAGGATACAAAATCAATGTGCAAAAATCACAAGCATTCCTTTACACCCACAATAGGGAAGCAGAGAAGCAAATCATGAATGAACTCCCATTCACAATAACTACAAAGAGAATAAAATACCTAGGAATAAAACTAACAAGAGATGTGAAGGACCTCTTCAAGGAGAACCACAAACTACTGCTCAAGGAAATTAGAGAGAACACAAACAAATGGAGAAACATTTCGTCCTCATGAATAGGAAAAATCAATATTGTGAAAATGGACATACTGTCCAAAGTAATTTATAGATTCAATGGTATTCCCATCAAACTACCATTGACATTCTTCCTAGAATTAGAAAAAACTACTTTACATTTCATATGGAATCAAAAAAGAGCCTGTATAGTGAAGACAATCCTAAGCAAAAGGAACAAAGCTGGAGGCATCATGCTACCTGACATAAAACTACACTACAAGGCTACAGTAACCAAAACATCATGGTACTGATACCAAAACAGACATATAGACCAATGGAGCAGAACAGAGAACTCAGAAATAACACCATACATCTACAACAATCTGTTCTTCGACAAACCCCATAAAAACAAGCAATGGGGAAAGGATCTCCTCTTCAGTAAATGGTGCTGGGAAAACTTGCTAGCCATATGCAGAAAACTGAAACTGGACCCTTCCTTACACCTTATAAAAATTAACTCAAGTTGGATTAAATACTTAAATGTAAAACCAAAAATGATAAAAATCCTAGAAGAAAACTTATGCAATACCATTCAGGACATAGGTATGGGCAAAGACTTGATGACTAAAACACCAAAAGCAATGGCAACAAAAGCCAAAATTGACAAATGGGATCTAATTAAACTGAAAAGCTTCTGCACAGCAAAAGATACTATCATTAGAGTGAAGAAGCAATCTACAGAATGGGAGAAAATGTTTGCAATCTACCCATCTGACAAAGGTCTAATATCCAGTACTTACAAGGAACTTAAACATATTTACGAGAAAAAAAAAAAAAAAACCGGATCAAAAAGTGGGCAAATGTCTTCTCAAAAGAAGACATTTACGTGGCCAACAAACATATGTAAAAAAGCTCAACATCACTGATCATCAGAGAAATGCCAATGAAAACCACAATGAGATACCATCTCATGCCAGTCAGAATGGCGGTTATAAAAAAGTTAGCTAATTATGGATACTGGTGAGGCTGTGGAGAAATAGAGACACTTACACTGTTGGTAGGAAAGTAAATTAGTTCAACCATCGTGGAAGATAGTGTGGCCATTCCTCAAGGATCTAGTGCCAGAAATACCATGTGATCCAGCAATCCCATTACTGGGTATATACCCAAAGGAATATACATCATTCTACTATAAAGACATATGTACACGTATGTTTATTGCAGCACTATTCACAATAGCAAAGACATGGAACCAACTCAAATGCCCATCAATGATAGACTGGATAAAGCAAATATGGTACATATACACCATGGAACACTATGCAGCCATAAAAAGGAATGAGATCATGTCCTTCACAGGGACATGGATGAATCTGGAAGCTATCATCCTCAGCAAACTAACATAGGAACAGAAAACCAAACACCGCATGTTCTCACTCATAAGTGGGAGTTGAACATTGAGAGCACATGGACACAGAGAGGGGAACAACACACACCAGGACCTGTTAGGGGATGGGGGCTGAGGGGAGGGAACTTAGTGGATGGGTCAATAGGTGCAGCAAACCACCATGGCACATGTATACATATGTAACAAACTTGCACATTCTGCATGTGTATCCCATTATTTTTTAGAAGAAGAAATAAAGAAAGAAAAATGAGAAAGCCACACAGTGATGCCAATTTTCTTTTGTCAATGTGGGAAAATAATTCAATAAATCTTACTCTTTTTATAAAAATTAACTCAAAATAGACCACAGATTAAACATAGTGTGTAAACAACAAAAGATTTCGAAAAAATAATTTGAGAAAATGCTTAAAATCTGGAGCAGGGCAAATCATTCTTACACTTGGCACTAAAGACATGGGCCATAAAAGGAAAAATCTGTAAATTAGACTACATCAAATTAAAAAGCTTTTGCTGTGAAGTGGTCCTATTAAAAGGATGAACAGACAAGCTCCTGATTGACACAAATTTTTTTTTGCAAATTACATACATGACAAAGTACTTGTGAGTAGAATTTTAAAGAGCTCTCAAAATTCAAGAGTTAAAAAAAAGAAACTTAAAAAAACCTCTAATAAGAAAGGCAAAACATATGAACAGACATTTTATTGAAAGAAATATGCAATGGCAAATAAACTCTTGAAAGATATTCAGCATTACTAGTTACAAGAAAATTAAAATTAGAACCTCAATGAGATGTCCTTACACTCCTATCAGATGGCTTAAAAACAACATAGTGACAATACCATATCTTGGTGGAGATGGAGAGAAACTGCATCATTCATGCATTGCTGTGGGAATGTAAAGTGAAGCCACCAATCTGGAGAATTGTATGTCAAATTGTATGTCATGTTTCTTAGAAATTAAGCATGTGCTTCCCATATGCCCATCAATTATAGTTCTGAGCATTACCCAAGAAATGAAAATTTATGTTGATGCAAAACCTTTACATGAATATTTATAGCAGACTAATTCATAATAGCCAAAAAGTGGAAGCAAGCCACATGCCCTACCCTTTGGTGAGTGAATAAATACACAAACTGTGATATATGCATACCATAAAACAATATTCAGCAATAAAACAACAAACTATTGACCTACCCAATAACTTAGAAAAATCTTAATGAAATACCCTCAGTGAGAAAAAGCCTATCTCAAAAGTTTCCATACTTATTGTTCAATTTTATAACATCCTCAAAATGACAAAATTACTGAGATGAAGAAGAGACGAGTGGTCACAAGGATGTCTTGAGGAAGAAAGCGAGGTGTCTGAAGCTACAATAGAGTGTCATGAGGAATCATTGTAATAAAATTATTGAAATTGTTTTTCAATAAAAGTGCATGGATCTAAATGCACGTGCATGTGCACACTCATGTGTGCACACACACAGGAGTTCATATAAAATGAGAACTCTGAATAAGGTCAATTGATTTTACCAATGTTGTTTTTCTGGTTGTGTTATTATTCTATAAGTATACCAGAAGTTACCACTGGGAAAAGTGAATGTTTGGTATAGAGCATGTCTCTGTATTATTTCCTACAACTGCATGTGTGTCTGTAATCTCAAAATAAAAAGTTTATATAAAAATGGGCAAAAGACTTGAGCAGACATTTAACCCAAGTTGATATATAGATGGAAAATAAACGTGAAAAGATGTTACATACCACTGTCAGCAAAATGCAAAATGAAAACACAATGTAATACCACCATACATCTATTAAAATGGCTAAAATTAAAAATAAATGACAACACAAAGTGCTGACAATAATGCACAGCAACTGAAACTCTCATACATTATTAGCAGAAATGTAAAATGTTGCAACCACTCTGAAAAATGGAAATTTAAAAAACAATTTCAAACATAACCTAAAATATGGCCCCGTCAGTCCACTCCTAAATATTTGCCAGGGAAAAATTGAAATTTTGTCTACACGAAAACCTTCACTTTGGGAGGTTTTCTTCCAGTTTGTAACACTACAATAAGATGAAAAAGAAGATGACCATAATGATCATAAAGTATAATTGTTAATTTCTACAGGAGTATAGAGTACCCTCAGGAAATAATATTAATTAAATATGATCCAATTTAGCCACAATTTCTAAAGTGCTTTATAAAATATCAAAAACTATGAACAAACCATACAAAATACCAATAAAATATACAAAATACCAATTTATGTATGTCTCTGCTTATCATTAGAACTTTTCTATTGTGTTATTTTTGCATGTATGTAACTCTTGTTCCTTTATTAATCTGAAAACTAATCAATTTCTTCTGATTATCAGATTTCTTCTTAAGAGAGAAACAGATTTTCATCTAATCAGCCTCACTGTAGGTTTTACTTCTCATAGTATGGGGAACTTAATTTAAGGAAATTATTATTGCCAGGTTTCTGAAAACATCAGTACTTTATTAAGATAAACATCTATTGAAAACTGTTCTTAAAAATTTATTTTTATGCTAAATTATTTGATCATACTTAGGCTATTTTTGCCTTGAGTGACTATATGAACTGATGAATCTCGTTTAGATTATCAATAATTTAAAATTATTTTATTGAAAAATAGATGCAATAAATCATTCTACCACAAAGACACATGCACGTGGATGTTCATTGCAGCACTATTCACAATAGCAAAGACATAGAATCAACCTACATGCCCATCTATGACAGACTGTATGAAGAAAATGGTGCATATACACCATGGAACACTTTGTGGCCATAAGAAAGAACAAGATGGCGTGTTTTTCAGGAACATGGATGGAGATGGAGGCTATTATCCTTAGCAAACTAATGCAGCAACAGAAAACCAAATACTGCATTTCTTCACTAATAAGTTTACTTTTGTTGCAATGATTTATGCTAAATGATGAGAACTCATGAACAAGAAGAAGAAACAGACATTGTCTCTACTTCAGAGTCAAGAGAAGAAGAAGGGAGAATGGAAAAGATAACTATTGAGTACTCTGCTAAATACCTGGGTGAGGAAATATCTGTACAACAAACCTCTGTGACACAAGTTTACCTATGTAACAAAACTTCACATGTACCCTTGAACCTAAAATATAAGTTAAAAATTAAAAAGTAATAAAAATAAATAATAAATAAAATATAGATTAAAGTGGCAAAATGAAATTAAAATTGAAGATTTTGTATCATGAATATTTTATTTTAAGTTAACTCTTATTTTAAGTTCAGGGGTATATAGGTTTGTTACATAGGTAAACTTGAACATAGAGTTTGTTACATAGGTAAATTTGTGTCATGGGGGTTTGCTTTACAGATTATTTTATCACCCAGTTATTAAGACTACCATCCATTCGTTATTTTTTCTGATCCTCTCCCTCCTCTCACTTTCTACCCTCTTATAGGCCCTAGTGTGTGTTGTTCCCCTCTATGTGTCCATGTGTTCATATCATTTAACTCCCACTTATAAGTGAGAACATGTTGTATTTGGTTTTCTGTTCCTGTGTTAGTTTGCTAAGGATAGTGGCCTCCAATTGTATCCATGTCCCTGCAAAGGATATGATCTTTTTCTTTTTGATGCCTGCATAGTAATCCATGGTGTATATGTATGATATTTATCCAGTCTATCATTGATAGGCATTTAGGTTGATTCCATGTCTTTACTATTGTCAGTAGTGCTACAATCAACATATATGTGCATGTGTCTTTATAAAAGAATAATTTATATTCCTTTGGGTATGTACTCAGTAATGGGATTGATGGGTCTAATGGTATTTCTGTCTTTAGGTGTTTGGAGAATCACCACACTTTCTTCTACGATGGTTGAACTAATTTACACTCCCACCAACAATGTATAAGTGTTCCTTTTTCTCCACAACCTTGTCAGTATCTGTTGTTTTTTGACTTTTTAATAATCACCATCCTGACTGCTGTGAGATGATATCTCATTGTGGTTTTGATTTGCATTTCTTCAATAGTCAGTGATGTTGAGCTTTTCTTATGATTGTTGGCCACATGTATGTTTTTTTTTTTGTAAAGTGTTCATGTCCTTTGCCCAATTTTAATGGAGTTATTTGGTTTTTTGTTGTAAGTCTCTTTAAGTTTCTTACAGATGCTGGATATTAGACCGACCTTTGTCGGATATATGGTTTGCAAATTTTTTCTCCCATTCTGTAGGCTGTTTACTCTGTTGATAGTCTATTTTGCTGTGCAGAAGCTCTTTACTTAAATTAGATTCCATGTATTAACTTTTACTTTTGTTACAATTGTTTTTAGCATCTTCATCATGAAATCTTTGCCCCTGCCTGTGTCCTGAATGGTATTGCCTAGGTTGTCTTCCAGGGTTTTTATAATTTTTGGTTTTACATTTAAGTCTTTAATCCAACCTGAGTTAATTTTTTTATCTGGTGTAAGGAAAAAGGCCAGTTTTAATTCTCTTCATATAGCTAGCCAATTATCTCAGCATCATTTGTTGAATAAGGAATCCTTTCTCCATTACTTGCTTTTGTTGACTTTGTCAAAGATCAGATACTTGTATGTGTGCTGTCTTATTTCTGGGCTTTCTATTCTGTTACATTGGTCTATGTGTCTGTTTCTGTACGAGTACCATGTTGTTTTGGTTACTGTAGCCCTGTAGTATATTTTGAAGTAAGGCAGCATGATGCCTCTAGCTCTATTCTTTCACTTAGAATTGCCTTTACTATTCAGGCTCTTTTCCAGTTTCATATGAATTTTAAAATAGTGTTTTTTTTCTAGTTTTGTGAAGAATGTAATTGGTAGTTTGATAGGAATAGCATTAAATTTATAAATGGCCTTGGGCATTATGGCCGTTTTAACCATATTGATTCTTCCTATCCAAGATCATGGCACATTTTTCCATTTGTTTGTGTCATCTCTGATTTATTTGAGCAATGTTTTGCAGTTATTCTTGCTGAGATTTTTTTTACCTTCCTGGTTAGTTTTATTCCTAGGTGTTTTATTCTTTTTGTGGCAATTGTGAATGGAATTGCATTCTTGATTTGGTACTCAACTTGACTCTTGTTGTTGGATAGGAGTGCTATTGATTTTTGTACATAAATTTTGTGTCTGGAGACTTTACTGAAGTTCTTCATCAGCTTAAGGAACTTTTGGGCCAAGACTATGGGGTTTTCTAAATATAGGATCATGTCATCTGCAAACAGAAATAGTTTGACTTCCTCTCTTCCTATTTGGATGCCCTTTATTTCTTTCTTTATATATATAATTTCTATATGATTTTTATATATCTTTATATATGATTTTATACATATGCATATATATCATGAAATTGTATATGATTTTAACAAGACCTATTATTTTATTTTATTTTTAGTTGACATGTAATAATTTTAAGTATTCTTGGGATACATAGTGATATTTTGATATGTGTATACAAGGTGTAATAGTCAAATCAGGATAAGTAGCATACCCATCACCTCATTTATCATTTATTTGTTTTGTGAACATTCAAAATCCTCTCTTCAAGCTTTTTAAAAACATACAATAAATTATAGTTAACTACATTAGTCCTACAATGGTCTTGCTTTAGGCATTTCAATAAAGTGTAATTTTGAACATGATTTTCAAAATGTAATTCAGCAAGTATAAAATGTTAAGTTGGAGATTATAGGCAATATTTTATGTATTACAAAATAATTAAATTAATTCAAAAATTTTAAAAATGAATAAAGTCATAATTGTAATGAAACGATTCTAAAGTAATTCTACTCATATTTAATGATCTTGATACCTTGACATTTCATGTCAAGCAGTCAGTTCCCATTGCTCTTGAAGGTTTAGTCTATCACTACCCTAACTTGTATAATACCTAATAAAATATTGGTAATGGCTTAATTTTTGTTCTATTTATATCATTTCATATCAAGGATATTCTAGTCTCTTTACATGATAGAGAGTGTTTTCTTCTGAGAAAATATTTTTTAGAAATGTAGTCCGTATAGATTTTCAGATTTATTACCATATTCTTCATTGCATCTTCTTTTATATTTATGCAGAATAAGTTTTATTTTCTAGTTCTTGTTTCTACAAATACTTATTTTTTCTTTTTCTCTTTTATTCTGCATCCATCTTGGCAGAAATTTGTCAATCTATCTTTTAAAATGGAAGATATTTGGATTAAGTTATATTCTCTATTATATATTAGTTTCCTGTTTTATAAATTTATTTTCTAATATTTATTATTATTATTTATTTTATTTATTTATTTTTGAGATGGAGTCTCGCTCTGTCACCCAGGCTGGAGTGCAGTGGTGCGATCTCGGCTCACTGCAAGCTCCGTCTCTTGGGTTCCCGCAATTCTCCTGCCTCAGCCTCCGGAGAAGCTGGGACTACAAGCGCCCACTACCACGCCTGGCTAATTTTTTTGTATTTTTAGTAGAGACAGGGTTTCACTGTGTTAGCCAGGATGGTCTCAATCTCCTGATCTCGTCATCTGCATGCCTCGGCCTCCCAAAGTGCTGGGATTACAGACGTGAGCCACCATGCCTGGGCTTTCTTATTTCTTAATAGTTTTGATCCTTTTGTGTTTTGAAACTCATTGATTTTCAGCCTGCCTCCTAAGGTAAACTTGCTTTGGACATATTTTTATAAGTAGTATTTCTGTTTTCAGCTGTAAATATTTTCTGATGTACAGTATAATTTCTTCTTTCGTAGTAAGTTACTTAGAAGTACATTTATTAGTTTCATATATATGTACATTTTTAAAGTCATCTTTATTTTTTAGATTTCTAACTTAATTGCATAATGATCCAAGAATGTGGGATGTATGATACTAGGCCTTTGATATTTATTGGAACTCAGTCTGTGGTTTTGTATGTGGTTGGTTTCATAAATGTACAGTATATGCTTTAAATATTATGTATTTTCAACTATTGCTGCAGTGTTTTGAATGTATCTATTACAGTGAGATTGTTGTGTCATTAAAATCCTTTTTATACTTACTGATTTTCTATTTGTTTAAAACATCAATTATAGGAAGAAGTGTTAGAATCCCCTACTACATTGATGTCTTTATTTTTTCCTTGTAGCTCTAGTTGTGTCAATTTCCACTCTGTATATTTTTAGATGCATAAAATGAGGAGCGTACTGGTAAATGTTTGAAATTCAGCTCTCTTCAAGGAAAAAGATGCCCTGATTTATCGTGTTTATCCATTTCTGTGGCACAAATAATCTCCCCAAGATATAAGCTGAAGTCACTAAGGCTGAGCTGAGAAAAAGATAACAATCAGCTCTTATAAGCCAACAACAGGAGACTCCAGTACACCAGCTATACAGATACATGTGTGTGCATTATATATCCTCTATGTATTCTTGATTAATTGAAAATTTGTGTGTGTGTGTGTTGTGGAGCCCCTCTTTATCTCTATCAGTGTATTCTTCCTTGAAGAGTTTAATTTGTTTTTCACTGTGCTATTAAGAGTTGTATCTAAGCTTTCTTTTTTACTTTTTCATGCTTTACTTTTATATACCCTATATTTAGATATGTTTCTGGAAGGCTAGTGGGATGGTTCATGCCTTTTATCCCAGCACTCTGGAAGGCTGAGGTGCGCAGATCACTTGAGTCCAGGAGTTAGAGAACAGCCTGGGCAACATGGCGAAATTCTGTCGCTACAAAAAATATAAAAATTAGCCAGGTGTGGTGGCACATGCCAGTCATCCCAGCTATTTGGGAGGGTGAGGCAGGAGGATCTCTGGAACCTGTGAGAGGAAGGTTGCAGTGAGCCGAAATGACACCACTGCCTTCCAGCCTGGGTGACAGAGAGAGACACCATCTCAAAAAAAAAAAAAAAAAAGTTTCTTATAGAAAGCTTATAGTGAGATTTTATTTTGTAATTAGCCTTGAAGTCTTCATACTTAGGTGAGTTAAATTACTGAAGTATTTTTATTTATTTCAATCATTTAATTTTGTATTTTAATTTCCTGCCATTTATATCTCTTTTAATCTCCTTTTTCCCCACTTTTTTCTCATTTTATTTTTTGTCTCTCTGCTTGTTTGGAAGTTATAATCTTTCTTTCTTCTCTTTTGATGGTTGTCCTTGACAGTTTAACATGCATATAGAATCAAAATAGTGAACTTCAATGCAAAACCAATACAAGTTCCTAAGAACATTTGAACAATAATTACTCTCTTCATTAATAAATTTTAGGTTTTATTTGCTGAATTTTTTAATTTATCCTTCAAAAGCAAATTTATTAGTGTTTCAAGATGTAAATATTTGTTTACATATAACTATATATTTACCACTTTCTTAGGTTCATTATTGCTCCTTGAAACTCAGAATGTAATTACTGATACTCGATAGTTGTATATAACTTTTTCTCATACTACTTCAGCATGAGTGAACATTTTGACATCTCATCAGGTTTATTCAATGCATTATTTCAGTTAATTTCTTTTCTCTTAAAGGTAAAAATATGACCTCTGTTTTAGACTGCTCACTTGCCTTCATTTATGGTGAAATGTTTTCCCTCAACCACCATTGAACGTCTAAGAAAATATTGTAGAACAATGTTCAAGTCATTGATTTCTGTAGCCAATGTTTTTGTTTTTCACTTTTATTAGTAGGTCACTAAGAGTACTATCAAATCAGGGTTTACTACATATACTCCTATGATATAAGTTTATTTAATATTAAAACAAATGGGCTGGGCATGGTGGCTCACGCCAGTAATCCCAACATTTTGGGAGGCCCAGGTGGGCGGATCACCTGAGGTGGGGAGTTCAAGACCAGCCTGACTAACATGGTGAAACCCCGTTTCTACTACAAATACAAAATTAGCCAGGGTGGTGGCGCATGCCTGTAATGCCAGCTACTCGGGAGGCTGAGGCAGGAGAATCGCTTGAACCCAGGTGGTGGAGGTTGCGGTGAGCCAAAATTGCGACATTGCACTCCAGCCTGGGCAACAACAACGAAACTCTGTCTCAAAAAAAAAAAAAAACCCAAAAAACAACAACAACAAAACAACAACAACAACAACAAAAATGGATATAAAGGTAAATTTAAATAATAATAAATTAGCATGTGCATGTTTGCCGATTCTCCTTTTCATATTAGCACACTATAAAAGCTATGTATTCATAATATATTTTAAAACAATCCTAATATAAGTTTTTCATGTCCTTTAGGTCAGATATCCAAATTATATTGACATTTCATGGTTATTGTGATAGATCTCTGTCATGATGTAAAATAAGCTTCATTTTGAAAAAGTATATATCATAATCTTAAATATTTTCTTATACAAAACAAACAGGCAAGAGTAAAATCTGACATTAAAACCAATTTATAGTAAACAGAATGTCTAATATGGTTTGTAGCAAGTGTTTTAAGAATGAGGTTTAGAGGAGATTTTTTTCTAACTTGCTGTGTAAAGAATTAACTTAGGAATCACTTCCTCAGGATCAATGTCAATGGGTTAGTTTAATAAAGTTAATTCTTACACAATCTTTTAAAAAGACAATCTTCTAAATTTATATGTAGTTGGGGGAACATGGCATCAATGATGTATACAATCTAAAATATTCTATTTTTAGATTGGTTGCTTTTTAAAGCCTATGGGAAAAATATCCTTTTGATCTTTAGCATCAGCAAATTCTTAAATACTGGTGGAGAAAAAAAAGATCAATATTGCCTTATAAGCTTCAATTTGGAAGTTTTACAACATTGCCTGATAGTTTTAATCAGATACTCTTATCTGTCCTTGTTATATGTCAAACAATTCACTACTGTAAATATAAGGAACTGATAATGAATAGCACTAATTTGAAGTAGTCATTATGGCTTTAAGCTCTACATCCTTAAAGTGTGTGAGCCTGCATAATCTTTAACCAGAGGCAATTTTAAATGAAGATATTAAACCTAGGAGGTGAATGAGAACCAATATAAATGTTAATCTGTTTTGAATACCAATTCCATGCTTATAAATTCTTTTGGCACTTCGTGAAGATAAAGGAGCTGCAATGGCCTGCATTTTAATCAAACATATATTATAGTAACAGATGAGTTGTATGCTTGGAATTGAATGAGTTATATTCTGCACAGTGAAAAATTTGAGCATACAGCAACTAAATATTTGGGTATGTTTATAAAACAATGCACTGCTTTATACAGCATAAGATAGCTAACAGGTTTTTGGGTTGTTAACTAGATGTACCCTTTTTTTCTGATTAGCCTTGGGAAAAATAAGAGTAATGTTCCGGTTTTTTTTTTCTTTTTTTTTCTAGAGAGCTGCTGTAGAAAAGTGCATTATGATGAGAAAGAAATTATAAATTGGAGAGTTTATAGTCCGTAGTATTACAGTGAAATTTTCTTGTTTCGTTTCTTATAGAAAGAATGTGAAAGTTAAACTTGTGGCTCAATCCCTCTATATATTGTTTCTTAATTCTTACCTTCCTTCATGAAAGAATCTCTTCATTCTTTTCCACCTATCTAAGATATACTCCTATTCAAGTGTCAATGGTAAATATTAATACTACTATATTAATATGAAATAATGTTACTAATACTAATCTTGAATATTTCTTGAAATAATCCCATACATATCAATCTATGGACCAGTATATTTGCCTAGATATAGTTTTGATTTATTTCCTCTAGGTGAGGCACAACTATATTCATTACGCTTTTCTCCTAACAATTATGTAAGCTTCCAGAAGGCAAAACACGAGAGTCACCTTTAAGTTTTTATCTTACCTATTCTCACAACACTTGACGTAGTTGATCTGTCACCGCTTCTTGACATTTTTCTTCCCTTGCCTTCCAGAACATCATCCTCTTTTTTACTTCCCTCTTACTTCATTAGTTGCTCCGCCCAACCCACAGGCAGCCAGACTTTAAGGTTATCTCCCTTGTTCCCTGAACATTGCTGTTATCCTGTTCTTAAGGTGCCCAGATTTGATATTGTTCAAACACACATGCTCTACAAACAATTTGTGCAGTTAATGCAATTATCACAGGGTCCTGAGGCAACATACATCCTCAGCTTACAAAGATGAGGGGATTAAGAGATTAAAGTAAAGACAGGCATAGGAAATCACAAGAGTATTGATTGCGGAAGTGATAAATGCCTATGAAATCTTCACAATTTATTTTCAGAGATTGCAGTAAAGACAGGTGTAAGAAATCATAAAAGTATTAATTTGGGGAACTAATAAATGTCTATGAAATCTTCACAATTTATGTTCTTCTGCCATGGCTTCAGCCGGTCCCTCTGTTCAGAGTCCCCGACTTCACGCAACAGATATGGGGAAATAGAAACGCTTTTACACTGTTCGTGGGAGTGTAAATTAGTTCAACCATTGTGGAAGACAGTGCATGATTCCTCAAGGATCCAGAAGTAGAAATACCATTTGACCCAGCAATCCCATTACTGGGTATATACCCAAAGGATTATAAATCATTTTACTATAAAGACACATGCACACGTATGTTTTTTGCAGCACTATTCACAATAGCAAAGACTTGGAACCAACCCCAATGCCCATGATTGTTAGAGTGGATAAAGAAAATGTGGCACATATATACCATAGAATACTATGCAGCCATAAAAAAGAATGGGTTCATGTCCTTTGCAGGGACATGGATGAAGCTGGAAACCATCACTCTCAGCAAACTAACACAGGAACAGAAAACCAAACACCACATGTTAGGGGAGCAGGGGAGCATAAATGTAGAAAACATGATAAGCAATGCCTTCTCCTGGCATTTTAGTAATGTGATATCTATGACTAGAGAAACCCACACTGCTTTGAAGAGTTTGTCAATTCTACCTCCTTCCTGAATCCATTTCTTTTTAAAAATTTTAAGCAACAAAAAGTCAGTTTTTCTTCTCAATTCCTCTCTCCTACAATACCTGATATGTATAAGTGTAAATAAAATAGAATTGTGGTCACAAAACAAACCAGAAAATTTAAAGAAGACATGAAGTAGGGATCATGTAATTCCCCTCAACTCCAAAATTGTGTTTGCAGGCTTTACACTCCATTCTCAGCTTTTTTTTTTATTATTTTTCATTTTATAATTTTATTTTTAAAATTAATACATATATTTATATATTTGATTTTTGTGAGTACATAGTAGGTATACATATTCATAAGGTACATGAAATAATTTGATACAGTCATGCAATGAGAAATAATCACATTATGAAAAAGGGTTATTTATCCGCTAAGCATTTATCCTTTTTATTAGAAACAATCTAATTATATATAGTTTTAGTTATTTTAAAATATATAATTCAATTATTATTAACTGTAGCCACTCTGCTGTATATAAAATACTAGGTCTTATTCATTCTTTATAACTACATATTTTTAACATATTAACCATCCCCAATTATAAAAGTTCTTTATATATTCTATATTAAGTTATTCATTATATAAGTTTGCAAAAGATTTTATTAGTCCTCATTTTGCCTATCTTCTTTCCTTGGGTTCTTTTTTTTTTTTTTTTTTTGAGATGGAGTCTTGCTCTGTTGCCCAGGCTGGAGTGCAATGGCACGATCTTGGCTCACTGAAACCTCCGCCTCCTGGGTTCAAGCGAGTCTCCTGCCTCAGCCTCCCCAGGAGCTGGGATTACAGGTGCCAACCACCACGCCCAGCTAATTTTTGTATTTTTAGCAGAGATGGGATTTCACCATGTTGGCCAGGCTGGTTTTGAACTTCTGACCTCAGCTGATCCTCCCACCTAGGCCTTCCAAAGCGTTGGGATTACAGGCATGAGCCACTGCATTTGGCCTTGGGTCTTTTAACATATGATGCTGTACCATTCTATGATTTAAACTAATAAAAAGTGAATAAATACAAGTGAAAAAATAACTAATGGACATGATTCTAAAGGTACCAAAATTATCAATTTCACAAAGCAATGACCAAACTTAACAATTAAGATATATGAATCAGTTTCAGCAAGAGGAAACTGGAATACATTTATATTTATTGTTGAAATAATTATAGTACCACAATTTTGTGACCTTTAATGAATTAATTTACTTGGACATTGATCATAAATGGTTGCTAAGTTCACAAAAAAGCAACTAGACTTCACGTGTTTAATAATAAAAGAATGCAACACCACCTATGAAGTAATTAAGAGTCAAAAACCATCTCTGAGTCTGATTATTCATGTAGGACATAAATTTGCCAGAAACATTTACAGGATAAGATATTATATAATAGCACTAGAATATTGAGACCACAAAAATTCAGACTGTGGGATAATCTACAGAAAAAAAATAAAAAGAAAAAGAAAAAAGAGTGAAGGCAGGAAGAAGTAGCAAGAGTTATCCATAAATTAAGTGACTTATAATATATCTCAACTAATTGCATTATATGGAACTAACATTGCTACCCCTGTTTTTTGCAAGGAATTTTCTTTTTTAGTTTTAACTTTTACATTTAAGTTAGGTTTTTGATTCATTTTGAGTTTTTTTCTGTTTTTATTTATTTATTTATTTATTTTGTATGTGGCGTGAAGTAAGGGGCCAACTTCATTCTTTCACATGCAGCTATACAGTTGTCTCAACACTACTGGTTCTGTTTCTCTGGAGAACCTTGACTTTTTGGGTACAGCTTCTAAGACTCAAAAAGCTTAATAAGATGCTAGGATTCGTTTTGGTAGAAGGGTAGAGGAAGTGAAGAGAAAGCCTTTTTAAGGCATGTGATAAGGATTGAGTATTGTGAATTCACTCACATTGTCCCAAGAAAATATATTAGGCAAGTAGGTCCTTGACAAGGTCTATCAGATTATTCTTTTGGCAGAGGTAAAATAATATCACAGTCAGTGCTATTAAGACTGTGTCTTCTTAATTGGCAGGATATTCTCTATATATTGAAAATGTTGGACATTAGAAGTGAGAGACACTTATGTTAAATACTGACAAACTCAACTGGCAGAAATAGAAGGGGAGTTTGTCTTCCTAGCACTCCTCTATTTGTAGCTGTTACCCCCAAAAGTTAATCCTCTATGGCATTTATGAATAGAGAAGTGCAATAATAAAACATATTCATTTCTACTATGTATTCAGATTTAGAAGAAACTGAAGGAAACACATTGAATTAGTCAAAAGGCTTCAGCCACAAGTTTATGTTAGTTTTCTCCCCCTACTATAAATACTGCACAAAGATCACTTGTTGAATTAGGATGTTTCTATCCTCCATGGACACAGATAGGATGGTGACTGAGGCACCTGAATCTAACATAATCACAAAAGTTTTCGTCTACACATTCTCTGAAGTTTCCAGGATACTCGTTTTTTTTTTTTTTTTTTTTTTTTTTTTTTTTTGGTGGTGGTGGTGTTGTTTTTCTTAAACTGAGGTTGTGGTAGAGGAAGAATGAGAGATTAGAGGGCGTGAACAAAGAGAACAACATTGCACCAGTAATTAACACAAATTTACTTTCTTTTTCCAGGAGCCTGTTCACCTCTTAACAATGCAAGCAAATGAACTTCTGTTTTATTGATCAATCTAAAGCTCTATATCAGCATTAGAGACACATGGAAGCTTTCTCTTCCTGCCTGGAGAACAGTGAAAAACAAAATTTAGGCAGCCTGTCTTTATCCTACCCATCCAAACTCAGCCTCATTAAAAGGTAGAACACCAAGATACCTTTACCTTTAACTTACTCACCTCTTGTCAAGAACATTTGCTACTTGATCCCAGGAAGATTTCTCATGTTTGCGAATCTAGCACATGTAGAGCTGTTGTTCTTTTCTCTTGCAGAAAGTCATGTCACCATTTAGATACCATCTTCATTACCAAAACTATCAAAAACTGTGAAGGATTTTAGATTTTACTCTACCTAAAATCACACATATTAATTTGTTTCATAGATGCTGAGAGAGAAAATAGATGCTGAGAGAAGACAAGAATCCCAGGTCAGAGAAAAGAATAGATTACTAATGGCAGAGCAGGCAGCATGACCCTCATGTTTGCAAGAGTCACCCCTTGTTCTCCCTACCATACAGAGGAAATGTGGTGGCAGACCCAGTTGGATGCTGTGCAGGTAGTGAATTTATGTTCACAGCTGAAGAACTCAGAGTGTAGGAAACCCTAACCTTGTAAGGTGAAGGCTAGAAAAGATGCCCAGTCTTCACCCTGGAGTGATACCTTTTTTTTATTTTTAAATTCTGCTAGTCAGAAAATAAATCTTCCATCTACCATGAAGGTAATGACTATCTTTTTGCACAGGCTGTTTGCAAGTAGGCATCCTTAGTAAGATAGAGAATAATAAAAATGGTTAATTTCTTTGCTCAGAAGAAAAGAATAAAGGCAATTATTCCATGAATAACTGTCTCTCAACATTATACAGTTCTAATCATTCCTGTTTTTAACAGAGAACGGTCTCTCCAATTTAAGTCCTTATACATGAATAGAGATTTGTTTTATGGAACAAACTAAGGTCTATCTTAATTAACATATAAGGTACACTTCAAAAATGTGTATTATGCAATTTTAGAATGCCATGTTCTATAGATACCAATTGGGTTAAAATTGTTCATACTATTTTTTTTAATATCGATGATATTTTTCAGAATGTCCCATTAATTGTGGAGAAAGTCTTGTTAAATTCTACAATTATAATTTTTTTAATTCCAAGTTTTTTTTTATATTCGGAGGGTATATGTGCGGGTTTGTTACATAGGTATACCACATGATGCTGATGTTCAATGTATGATTGTTCCCATCACCCAGAAACAGAGCACAGTGTCCAATAGTTAGTATTTCAAACCTTGCTCCACTCTTGCCCTCTCCTGTCTGGTAGTCCTCAGTGTCTATTTTTGCCATCTTTACATCCATGAGCACCCAATGTTTAGCCCCCACTTATAAGTCAGAACATATGGTATTAGGTTTTGTTCCTGTGTTAATTCATTTCAGATAATGGCCTCCAGATGCATCCATGTTGTTGCAAAGGATATAATTTTCTTCTCTTTAATGGGTGCTTAGTATTCTATGGTGTATATGTATCACAGTATCTTTATCCAAACCACCATTGATGTGCATCCAGGTGGATTCCATGTCTTTGCTATTGTGAATAGTACCATGTCAACATGCAAGTGCATGTGTCTTTTTGGTAGAACAATTCGTTTTCTTTTGGATATATACCCAGTAATAAGATTGCTGGGCTGAATGGTAATTCTATTTTAAGCTCTTTGAGAAATCTCCATACTGCTTTTCACAGTGGCTAAGCTAATTGGCATTCCCACCAACAGTGTATAAGTGTGTCCTTATCTCTGCAGCCTCATCAGCATCTTTTGCTTTTTGACTTTTCAACAATAGTCGTTCTGACTAGTATTGGATGGCATCCCATTTGGTTTTGATTTGCATTTCTCTGATGATTAGTGATGCTGAACATTTTTTCTTATGTTTGTTGGCCACTTGTGTATCTTCTTTTGAAAGTGCCTGTTCATGTCTTTTGCCCACTTTCTAATGGGGTTATTTGTATTTTGTTTATTGAATTCTTTAAGTTTCTTATAGATACTGGATATTATATGTTTGTTAGAGGCATAGGGTATTAGCCAGGATATGCCAGAGGGAAATAACCAATAGGAGTTTATTAGGGAGATTTGGCTCACATGATTACCAGGCGAAATCACACAACAGGCAGTCTGCAAGCTGAGGAAAGAGAAAAGCTGTTAGTAGCTCAGTCCAAGTCTAAAAGCCTCAAAGCCAGGAAAGTTGACAGTGCAGTTTGCAGTTTGCGGCCAAAGCCCAAGAGCCTCCAGGAAATCACTGGTACAAGTCCCAGAGTCCAAAGGCCAAAGAACCTGAAGTCTGATGTCCAAGGTCAGGAGGAGTAGAAGCAAGAATCTGGCACAGGAAGAAAGACAGAGCCAGAAGATGCAGCAAGCCAGCTTATAACCTCTTCTGCCTGCTTTGTTCTAGCCACACTGGCAGCCAACTGGATGGTCCCCACCCACATTCAGGGTAGGTCATCCTCTCCCAGTCCTCTGACACAAATGTCAGTCTCCTCTGGCAACACCTGCACAGACACACCCAGAAACACTACTTTACCAGCCATCTAGACATCCCTCAATCCAGTAAAGTTGACATCTAGTGTTAACCATCACACATAGTTTGTGAATAATTTCTCCATTCTGTAGGTTGTTTACTCTCTTGATTGTTTCTTTAGCTGTGCAGAAGCTCTTTAGTTTAATTAGGTTCTACTTGTGAATATTTGTTTTTGTTGCAATTGCTTTTGAGGACTTACTTATAAATTCTTTTCTAAGGCCAATGTCCAGAATAGTTTTTCTTTATTTTCTCGTAGGACTCATAGTTGGATTAATTCATTAATCCAACTTGAGTTAATTTTTGTATGTGTTGAAAGATAGAAATCCAGTTTCATTGTGTATATGGCTAGCCAGTCATCCTAGCACCACTTATTGAATAAGCAGCCCCTTTTCAGTTGCTGATTGTTGTTGACTTTGTCGAAGATCACATGGCTATAGGTCTCTGGCTTTATTTCTGGGTTCTCTATTTTTTTCCATTGATCTAAGTGTCTGTTTTGGTAATAGTACCATACATGTAATAGTACCATTTTATTGCTCTAGCCTTATAATATAGTTTGAAGTCAGGTAACGTGATGACTCCAGCTTTCTGTTTGTTTGTTTTTGCTTCATATTTCCTTGGCCATACAGGTGACTGGTTCCATATAAATTTTGGAATTAGTTTTTGTAGTTCATTGAAAAGTAATGACTTTGGTAGTTTGATCGGAATAGCGTCGAATCTGTAGATTGCTTTGGGTGGTATGGCCATTTTAATGATATTTATTCTTCCAATCTATGAGCATGAAATGTTTTTCCATTTCTTTCTGTTATCTGTGAATTTTTTCAGCAGTATGTTGTAGTTCTCTTTATGGAATTAATTCATCTCCTTGGTTAGATGTATTCCCAGGTATTTTACTTTTTAGGGAAAATGTAAATGGGATAGCTTTCCTAATTTTGATCTCAGCTTGAATGTTACTGGTGTATAGAAATGTTACTAATCTTTGTACATTGACTTTTTTAATGCGGGGACTTTACTGAAGTCGTTTATCAGTTCCAGGAGCCTTTTGGCTGAGTCTTTTGGGTTTTCTAGGTATAGAATAGTATCATTAGCGAAGAGAAATAATTTGACATATTTGTTATGTGAATTCCTTTTATTTATTTATCTTGCCAGATTTCTCTGACTAGAACTTCCAGATCTTTTTCAGAAGAACTTCCAGAATGTTGAAGAGTAGTAGTGAGAGTGAGCATCCTTGTCTTGTTTCAGTTTTCAAGAGGAAAACTTCCAGCTTTTTCCTATTTTCTATAACGTTGGCTGTGGGTTTGTCATTAATGGCTTTTTATATTTTGAGGCTTGTTCCTTTTTTGCTTCATTTGTTGATGGTTTCTATCATGAAGGGATGTTGATTTTATTGTGTTTTCAAGGAAGAGATAGAGGAAAATGACAGAATAGAAGGCTCCACTGATCATCCCCCTCACATGGACACCAATTTAACAACTATCTACACAGAAAAACAAAAACAAAAACAGAAACAAAAACTTTATAAGTACCAAAAATCAAGTGAACCTTCATAGTACCTGACTGTAACATCATATCACTGAAAATGGCACTGAAGAGATAGAAAAAAACAGTCTTGAATCATGAATGCCACCCCTCTGCCACCCCCAAAAGCAGCAGTGTGGTACTGAGGGCATCTCTGGGTGCTGGAGTAGGGAGAGCAGAGCAATTGTGCAACATTGAACTCAGCGCTTTTCTATTAGAGCAGAAGGGAAAACTGAACTCACCTAACCTGATGGCTGCCCATAGAGGTAGCATTTAAACCAACTCTAGCTAGCGGGGAATAATGGATCCCAGTGGTTGTAACTTGAGCTGCCATAAATCTTGCCACCAAGGGCTAAAGTGTACTCGATCTCTTAAGTAAACTTGAAAGGCAGTCTGGATTAGAAGGACTGCAACTCTTAGGCAAGTCCTCGTGCTAAAATAGGCCCACAGACAGTGAACTAGGGGGACACATGACCTGCTGAGACACCAGATGGGGAGGCTTAGGAAGTGCTGGCATCAGCCCTCTCCCTAACCCAAGGCTGCATGCCTCACACCTCCAAAACATACCCCTTCCATCCACTTTATGAAGGAAAGGGAAGAGTGGAGAAGACTTTTGCTTGCATCTTGGAAATGAGCTCAGCAGTAGCAGGATAGAACATTAGTCAGAGTCATCTGGACCCCATCCCAAACAATTCTAGACACAGCCTGGGTCAGAAGGGAATCTGCTGCCTTGAAGGAAGGAACCCAATCTTTCCAGACTTCCTTACCTGCTAACTGAAGAGCCCTTAGGTCTTGAATAACCAGCAGCAGTACTCAGGTACTATGTCTAAGACCATGAGTGAAACACTGAAACTTGCTGACTTTGGGTACCAGCAAGGCCACAGAGGGGTAGAGCATCAAGAAGGCTCTTGAGTCTCCAATTCCAGGACTTGACTCTTGGATGTCATCTCTGGACCTTCCCTGAGACAGAGGGGAGCCTACTGCCCTGACGGGCGAGTCCTAGTCCAGGCAGCATTCACCACAAGCTGACTTAAGAGCCTTTGGGCTTTAAGGAACACTGGTGGTAGTCTGACAGCAATCTCCATGGCCTGTACTGGCAGTAGCTACTTGGTGAGGTTCCTCTGCCTTTGGAAAAAGGAAAGAGTGGGAAAGACTGCATCTTGTAGTTTCAATGCCAGCTTAGCACAGTACAACAGAATAACTGGTAGACTTCTAAGGTTTCCGACTATAGTCTCTGTCTCCCAAAACAGCACCTCTGGACCCACCCACGGCTTGGGCGAACTTGCTGCTCTGAAGGAAGGGACACGGGCCTAGCTGACTTTGCCACCTTCTGATTGTAGAGCTGCAGGGTTTGAGCAATAATTGGCTGTAGCCACAGAATGTCAGGGTTGCTTGTGACACCAGCTTTAGGTGGCTCAGAACATAGAGACTCCATTTGTTTGGAAGAAAGGAAGAGAAGAGAACAAGAGTCTCTGCTCGGTATTTCAGAGGTTTCTCCTGTACCTTGTCCATGACCATCAAGACAATATCTCTAGGAGTCTGCAAGAACTACGTTGTTACTGGGCTTGGGGTGCACCTTAAAGCAGACACAGCTTAGATCACAATATCCAAGTTTTTTAAAATATCTGGAAAGCCTTCCCAGGGAGGATAGGTACAAACAAGCCCAGACTGTGAAGACCACAATAAATACTGAATTCTTCAATGCCTAGATGCTGAAAAACATCTACTAGCATCAACGCCATCAAGGAAAACATGACCTCACAAAATCAACTTAATAAGTCACCATTGACCTATCATGAACAAGCACACATATGTGACCTTTCAGACCAAGAATTTGAAATAGCTGTGTTGAGAATATTCAAAGAAATTCAAGATAGCACGGAAGACATTCATAATTTTATCAGATAAATTAAACATAGATCTTGAAATAATTGAATCAAGAAGAAATGTGGGGGCCGAAAAATGCATTTGACATACTAAAGAATTAGAGTCTTTTAAGAGAAAATTTGATCAAGTTGAAGAAAGAATTAATAAGCTTAAAGACAGTCTTTTTAAAAACACACAGTCAGAGGAGACAAAAGAACAAAGAATAAAAAAATAAGCACGCCTACAGGACATAGAAAATAGCTTCAAAAGGGCAAATCTAAGAGTTACTGGCATTAAGTAGGAGGTAGAGATAGAGATAGGGGTGCAAAATTTATTCAAAATGATAATAACAGAGCTTCCCAAACAGACAAAGATATCAGCATCCAAGTACAAGAAGAATAACAAGGAGATTGAACCCAAAGAATATTACCTCAAGGCATGTAATAATCAAATTCCCAAAAATCAAGTGTAAAGAAAGGACTCCAAAAGCAGCAAGAGAAAAGAAACTAATAAAGTACAATGAAGATCTAATACATCTGGCAGAAGAATTTTCATTGGAAACCTTACAGGTCAGGAGAGGTTGACATTACATATTGAAGTGCTGAAGGAAAAAATAATCATTTATCCTGAAAAAGTATATCTGGTGAAAATGTACTTCAAACATGAGGGAGAAATACAGACTTTCCAACACACACACAAAAATCTAAGAGATTTCATTAACACCAGATCTGTCCTACAAGAAATGCTAAAGGGAGTACTTCAATCAGAAAGAAAAGGATGTTAATGGGCAGTAAATAATCACCTTAAGGTATAAAACTGACTGAAATAGTAAGTACACAGAAAAAAACAAAACCACCGTTATTAGTTTGTTCTCACATTGCTATAATCAAATATCTGAGACTGGTCAGTTTATTTAAATAAGAGGTTTAATTTGCTCACAATTTCACAGACTGTATAGGAAGCATGATGCTGGCATCTTCTCAGCTTCTGGGTCAATCTCAGGAAACTGACAATCATGGCAGGAGGCAAAGAGGGAGTAGTTCATATGGCCAGAGAAGGAGCAAGAGAGAGGGAAGGGGGAGTTTCTCCACACTTTTAAACAATCAAATCTCATACAAACTCACTCAATGTTATGAGAACAGTAGTACCAAGTGGAGATGGTGCTGAAACATTCATGAGGAATCCATCCCCATTATTCTATCACCTCCAATCAAACCCCACCTCCAACATTGGGGTTTACAATTTGACATGAGATTTTGTGGGGACACTAATCCAAACCATATCGTTCTAGCCCTGGCCCCTCCCAAATCTCATTTCTTTCTCACATTGCAAATTACAATCATGCCTTCCTCAACAGTTTCCCAAAGTCTTAACTTATTTCAGCATTAACTCAAATGTCTAAAGTCCAAAGTCTCATCTGAGACAAGGTTAGACTCTTCCACCTATGAGCATGTAAAGTCAAAAACAAGTTAGTTACTCCTAAGACACAATGGGGATACAGGCATTGTGTAAATACCCCTACTTCAAAAAGGAGACATAGGCCAAAACAAAAGAGCTACAGACCCCATGGAGTTTTGAAACCCAGAAGGGTAGCCATTAAATCTTAAAGCTCCAAAATAATATTCTTCAATTACATGTCCCAGATTCAGGGCAGAATAGTGTGAGGGGTAGGCTTCCAAGGCCTTGGGCAGCTCCACCACTGTGGTTTTGCAGGGTTCAGAACCCAAGGCTGCTATCAAGGGCTGGCATTGTGTGCCAGGCTGAGGGAACAAGCTGCTGGTGGATCTACAATTCAGGGTTCTGGAAAATGATGGTCCTCTTATCAGAGCTCCACTAGGTAGTGCCCCAGTGAGGACTCTGTGTGAGGTCTCCAACCCCACATTTTCCCTCCATATTGCCCTAGTAGAGGTTCTCCATGAGAGCTCCACTCCTGCAGCAGCCTTCTTCTTGGGCATCCAAGCTTTTCTATACATTTTCTGACATCTAGGCAGAGGCTCCAAAGCCTCAAATCTTACATTCTGTGCACCTTCAGGCTTAAACGACATGGAAGCTGCCAAGGCCTACTGTTTGCACTTTCTGAAGCAGCAACCCTAGCTGTACCTAGGGCCCTTTGAGTCAAGGCTGCAGCCAGAGGAGCCCCGATGCAAGAAGCCATATACTGAAGTTGTTCAGGGCAGCAGGGCCTTTGGGCTGGCCCAGGAAACCATTCTTTTCTTCTAAGCCTCTGGGCATGTGATGGGAGGGGCTGCCTCAAAGGTCGTTGCAATGTCTTCAAGACCTTTTTCCCATTGTCTTGGCTATCAGCCTTGGCTCCTTTTTACTTATGCATGTGTCTGCAACCTGCTTGAATTCTTCCCCTAAAAATTAGCTTTTCTTTTCTAACACATGGTCAGGGTGCAAATTTTCCAAACTTTAACACTCTGCTTTCCTTTTAAATATAAGTTTGAGTTTTACATCTTTTCTTTGCTTATACATATTAGCAGAGGATGGTAAACAGCCAGGCCACATCTTGAATGCTTTTCCAATTAGAAATATTTTTCCCCAGATACCCTAAATTTTTGTTCTCAAGTTCAAAGTTTCACAGATACTTAAGACAGGAGCACAATGCAGCCAAACTTTTTGCTAAGTCATAACATGCATGACACTTGCTCTAGCTCCAAATACATTCCTTATTTCTATCTGAGGTTTCATCATTTGTCTTTCATTGTCCATACTATAATCAGCGTTTGGGTCAAAAGGTCTCTTGAAAGTTTCAATTTTTTCTCATCTTCCTGGCTACTTCTGAGCCATCCACAATCTTCCAACTTCTGCCTGTTACCCAATCCAACCCTGCAAAGCTGCTTGCACATTCAGGTATTTTTATAGCAATGCCTCAATCCTTGTTACCAATTTTTCTGTGTTAGTTCATTCACACATTGCTTTAACGAAATATCTGAGACTGAGTATTTTATAAAGAAAAGAGGTTTAATTGGCTAATGTTTACACAGGTTATACAAGAAGCATATGCTGGCATCTGCTTGACTTCTGGAGAGACCTCAGGAAACTTACAATCATGGTGGAAGGCAAAGGGGGAGAAGCAATTTTTACAGCCAGAGAAGGAGCAAGAGAGACTAAAGTGGGAGGTACTACACACATTTAAAGAAACAGATCACATGAGAACTCACTCACTATGACAAGAACAATACCAAGAGGAGATGGTGCCAGAACATTCATGAGAAATCCACCCCCACAATCTAATCACCTCCCACTATGCCCCACCTGCAACATTGGAGATTATAATTCAACATGAGATTTGGTGGGGACACAGATCCAAACCATATCCAGAGTATTTTAACACTGTGACTGTGGTGTGTAAACTACTCTTATCTTAAGTAGAAAGACTAAATGGTAAGCCAATAAGCAATAATAACTACAACAAATTTTCAAGACATAGATAGTAGAATAAGATATAAATAGAAATAACAAAATGCTAAAAATCATGGGGATAAAATTAAGGTGTAGGGTTTTTCTTAGTTTGCTTTTTACTCGCATATTTGTTGGTTTATGCAAACCGTGTTAAGTTCTTATCAGGTTAAAATAATAAGTTATATGATTTGCAAGTCTCAGGGTAACCTCAAACCAAAAAAACATACAATGGAGACACAGAGAAACTACATCATACCACCTGAGAAAGTGACCTTTAATAAAGGAACACAGGAAGAAAAGAAAGAAAAAAAATAGTCCACAAAAGAATCAGAAAAGAAATAATAGAATGGCAGGAGTAAGTCCTTACCTATCAATAATATGAAATGTAGATGGACTAAACTCTCAAATCAATACACATAGACTAGTTGAATGAGTGATAAAACGAGACCTATTGATCTGTTGCCTACAAGAAACAGACTTCACCTATAAAGACACACACAGACTGAATATGAAGGGATGGAAATATATATTCCATTTCAATGGAAACTAACCAAAAGCAGGAGCATATATATCAAACAAAATAGATTTCAAGACAAAAACTATAAGAGACACATGAGGTTACTATATAATGATAAAGAGGTCAATTTAGCAAGAGGATGTATCAATTTTAAATATATATACAGCCAACACTAGAGCATGCAGATATATAAAGAAATATTATTAGTGATAAAGAGAGGAATAAGCTCTGACACAATAATAGCTGGAGACTTCAACACCTCACTTTCAGCATTGGACATACATTCAAGATAGAAAGTCAACAAAGAAACATCAGACTTAGTCTGTACTATAGACCAAATGGACTTAACAGATATATAAAGAACATTTTATCCAATGGCTGCAGAATACATGTACTTTTTCTCAACATATGGATCATTATCAAGGACACACAATATCTTAAGTCAAAAAACAAGTGTCAAAATACTCAAAATATTAAAATAATATCAAGTATCTTCTCTGACCACAGTGGAATAAAACTAGAAATTGATAACAAAAGTAATCTTGGAAACCATACAAATACATGGAAATTAAACAACAGCTGCTGAATGACCAGTGGGTCAATGAAGTAATTAAGAAGAAAATTGAAAAATGTCATAAAACAAATGATAATAGAAACACAATATACCAAAACCTATGAAATATAGCAAAAGCAGTCCTTTTATACTTTTACTTTTTAGCAGTTTATAGCTATAAGTGCCTAAATCACAAAAGAGAAAAATGTTCAAATAAACAATCTAACAGTACATCTTAAAGAATAAGAAAAGAAAGAGTAAACCAAACCCCAAATTAGTATAAGAATAGAAATAAAAATCAGGGACGAAATGAATAAAATTAAAATGAAGAAAACAATACAAAATACCAATAAAACAAAAAGTTGTTTCTTTCAAAAGTGAAACAAAACTGACAATTTTTTAGCCAGCATAACAAAAATGAAAGAAGATACAAATAAATAAAATCATAAATGAAAAAGGAAACATTACAATTGATACTGCAGAAATTCAAAGGATCATTAGTGGCTACTATGAGCAACCATATGCCAATAATTTGAAAAACCTAGAAGTGGACAAATTCCAAACAAACACAACCTACTGAGACTGAACCATGTAGAAATCCAAAACCTGAACATACCAATAACAAGTAATGACATTGAAGCCATAATAAAACAACTCCTACAAGTAAAGAAAAGCCCAGGACCCAATTACTTCACTGCTGAATTCTGCCAACCACTTAAAGAATAATTCGTACCAATTACTTAAACTATTCTGAAAAATAGAGGAGAAGGGAATAATTTCAAATGTATTCTACAAGGCCAGTTTTATCCTGATACCAACACCAGAAAAAGACAGTTTAAAAAAAAAAAAAAAAGAAGAAGAAGAAAACTAAAGGCCATTAACTCCAATGAATATTGGTGCAAAAAATCCTCAACACAATATTAGCAAAGCAAATTCAACAATACATTTAGAATGATCATGGTATAGATGAGCAATCATCTTTAGAATCATCATTCATCACAACCAAGTGGGATGTATCACATTACCTGACTTCAAATTATACTACAGAGCTGCAGTAACCAAAAAAGCATGGTGCTGGTATAAAAACAGATAAAAAGACCAATGGAAACAAATAGAGAACCCAGAAACAAATCCACACACCTACACTAAACTCATTTTCAACAGAGGTGCCCAGAATATACACTGGGGAAAAGACAGCCTCTTCTCTTCAATAAATGGTGGCGGGGAAAATGAACATCTATAGGGCAAAGAATGAAACTACACCCCATCTCTCACCATATACAGAAATCAAATCAAAATGTACTAATGACTTAAATAAAAAACCTTAAATTATTAAACAACCACAAGAAAATATTGGGGTAGCTCTTCAGCACATTGGTCTGGGCAAAAGTGTCTTGAGCCATACTCTGTAAGCACAGACAACGGAAGCAAAAATGGACATGTTGGATTGCATCAAGATAAGAAGCTTCTGCACACCAAAGTAAACAATTAATAAAGTGAAGAGACAATCCACAGAGTGAGACAAAATATTTGCAAAATATCCATCTGACAAGGGATTAATAACGAGACTATATAAGGAACTCCAACAACTTTATAAGAAAAATAATCTAATAATCTGATAAAATAATGGTCAATAGATTTGAACAGGTATTTCTGATAAAAAGACCTACAAATGGAAAACAGACATATGAAAAAGATATCAACATAATTGGTCATCAGACAAGTGCAAATCAAAACAATTATGTGTTTCCTATTTCATTCCAGTTAAAATGGTTTATATCCAAAAGACAGGCAATAACAAATACTGGTGAAGAGGTGGATAAAAGGGACTCCTCATACGCTGTTGATGGGAATATAGATTAGTATACACACTACGGAGAAAAGTTTGCAGCATCCTCAAAAAACTAAAAATAGAGCTACCATATGATCCAGCAATCCCACTGCTGGGTTTAAATCCCCCCTGCCCCCCAAAAAAGAAAATCAGTATATCAAAGAGATATCTGCACCCCCATATTTGTTCCAGCACTGTTTACAATAGCTAAGATTTGGAAGCAACCTAAGTGCTCAATAACAGAAGAAAGGAAAAGAACATAAACAATGGAGTTCCATTCAGCCTTAAAAAAAAATGAGATCCTGTCATTTGCAACAACATGGATGAAATGGGAGATCATTATGTTAAGTGAAATAAGCCAGGCACAGAAAGTCAATCATCATGTATTCTCACTTATTTAAGGGATCTAAAATCAAAACAATTGAGCTCATGGACATATAGAGTAGAAGGGTTACCATAGGATGGGCAGGGTAGTTGTGGAATTGATGTGGGGGAGATAGGGAGGATTACTGGGTGTGAAAAGTAGAAAGAAATAATAAGATCTACCATTTGATAACATAACAGGATGACTATAGTCAATATAACTTAGTTGTACATATTAAAATAACTAAAAGAGTGTAATTGGATTGTTTGTAACGCAAAGGATAAATGCTTGAGGGGATGAATAACCGATTCTCCATGATATAATTATTTTACATTGCATGCCTGTATCAAAGCATTTCATGTACCTTATAAATATATACATCTACTCTATACCCACAAAAATTAAAAATAACTTTAAAAATAAAATAAAAATATAAGATCTGGAAACTAAAAAAAAAACTTTCTACGTCTATTGAGATGCTTGTGTATGTTTAAAACTTTCTACATCTATTGAGATGCTTGTATATGATTTATTTTTAATTATGTTCATGTGGCAAATAATATTTATTCATTTGTCTATGTTAAACCAACTGAGCATCCCATCAAACAAGCCTACCTGATTATGATGAACATACTTTTTGATGTGCTGCCGGGTTAAGTTTGTTAATATTTTGTAAAAATTTTTGCATCTATCTTCATCAAGAATATTGTCCCATAGTTTTCTTCTTTGTGTGTGTTTTTGCCAGGTTTTGATAAGAGGGTGATTCTGGCTTCAAAGGATGAGTTATGAAAGAGTCCCTTCTCCTTGAGGTTTTACAAGATATTCCATAGGATTGGTATCATGTCTTTTTGTACATCTGGTGGAATTTGACTGTGAATTAATCTGGTCTGTGGCTTTTATTGGATGGTAGGATTTTTATTTATTACTAATTCAGTTTTGGAACACGCTATTCGCCTGTTCACGATCTCAATTTTTTTTCCAGTTCAATCTTAGAAGGTTGTGTGCTTTCAGGAATTTATCCATTTCTTCTAAATCTTCTAGTTTGTGTGCATAGAGATGTTCATAATATTCTCTGAGGATCTTTTGGATTTCCATGAGATCAGTTGTAATGTGACCTTTGCCATTTCTGATTGCGCTTATTTGTATCTTTTCCCTTTTATTTTTGTTAACATAGCTAGTGTTCTATTGATTTTTTAATCTGTTCAAAGATCCAAATTTTAGTTTCATTTATTCTTTGTATGAATTTTTAGGATTCACTTCTGTTCAGTACTGCTCTGATTTTAGTTATTTATTTTCTCTCACGTGGGCTTTGGAGTTAGTTTGTTCTTGTTTTTCTAGTTCCCCTAGGTGTGATGTTGGATCGTTAATTTTCGATCTTTCTGACTTTTTCATGTAAATGTTTAGTGTTGTAAACATTCCTCTTAACAGTTTTTGCTGCATCACAGAGATTGTGGTATGTTGTGTCTCTGTTCTCTTTTACTTGAAATATTTTTTATTTCTGCTTTAATTTTTTTTTTTTACCAAAAATTCACTCAGGACAAAAATGTTTGATTTCCATATAATTTTACGGTTTTGAGAGATCTTGGTATTGATTGCTGTTTTTATTCCACAATGGTCTGAAAACATCATTGGTATGATTTTAATTTTTAAAAAATTCATTGAGACTTGCTATGAGGTCAATGACTTGGTCAATAGAGTATGTTATGTGCGGTGATGAAAAGAATGTATATTCTGTGGTTAATTGGTAGAGTATGTTGTAGATGTCTCTTAGGTTCAATGCAGAAATTCAGTCCAAAATTTCTATAGCAGTTTTCTGACACAATAATCTGACTGATGCTGTCAGTGAGGTGTTGAAGTCCCACACTATTATTGTGTAGCTGTTTGAGTCTTTTTGTAGGTCTGGAAGTACTTTGTAAATTAATCTGGCTTCTAAAATGTTGGGTGCTTATATACGTAGGATAGTTAAGTTTTCCTGTTGAATTAAACCCATTACGATTATGTAACACCCTACTTTGTCCTTTTAACTGCTTTTGGTTTAAAATCTATTTTACCTGATATAGTAATAGCTACTCTTGGTTATTTTGTTTACTGTTTGCGTGATAGATCTTTCTCCAAGCCCTTACTTTGAGCCTATAGATGTTGTTTCATCTGAGATAGATTTTTTGTAGATAGCAGATGGGCATTTTTTTTTTCATTCAACTTACCACTCTGTGCCTTTTAAGTAGGGTGTTTATACTATGTACATTGAAGGTTAATATTGATATGTGAGGTTTTGATCCTGTCGTTGATAGCTGGTTGCTTCATAGATTTTAATTTGTCATTACTTTATTGGTTCTGTCGGTTATGTACGTGGTTTTTTGTGGTAGCAGGTATTATTCTTTTGACTTAATGTTGAGAATACCTTAACTAGGTCTTGTAATTCTGGTCTTGTGATGAATTACCTTAGTACTTGCTCATCTGCAAAAGATTTTATGTCTTCTTCACTTATTAAGCCTAGTTTGTTGGGATATGAGATTCTTGGTTGCAATTTTTTTTTTAATGTTGCAAATAGGCCCCCAACATTTCCTGGCTTGTAAAGTTTCTGCTGAGAAATCTGCTGTTAGTCTGATGGCATTCCCTTTGTACATGTTTGATGTTTTCTCTAGCTTCCTTGAAATTTTCCTCTTTTGTATTTACCTTGGACAGTCTGGTGACTATATACTTTGGTGATGTTCATTTTGTATAATATCTCGCAAGTGTCGTCTGGCTTTGTTTTATTTGGATTTCCAACTCTCTAGCAAGATTAAATATAATTTTGAACTATTCTCTTAAATACATTTTCCAGGCTGTTTACTTGTTTTTGTTTTGTCTCAAGAATGCCAATAATTCATTGGTTTGGTCACTTGACATAAGCCCATATTGCCTGTAGACTTGTTCATTTTCTTAATTATTATTATTTTTTTTTTTCCTGGCTGGGTTTAAAATTTTTTTCTGACAACAGAAAGACTGGTCTTCAAGTTCTGAAATTCTTTCTACTGCTTTGTCTAGTCTATTGAAAAAGCTTTCAATTGTATTTTGAAATTCCTTATGCGAGTTTGTTAATTCCAGAAGCTTTGATGGATTTCATTTTAGGATGTGTGTCTTGGCCGGGCGCGGTGGCTCACGGCTGTAATCCCAGCACTTCGGGAGGCCAAGGCGGATGGATTGTTTGAGGTCAAGAGTTTGAGACTAGCTGGGCCAACATGGTAAAACCCCTACTCTACTAAAATACAAAAATTAGCTGAGTGTGGTGGTGGGCGCCTGTAATCCCAGCTCCTAGGGAGGCTGAGGCAGGAGAATTGCTTGAACCCAGGAGGCAGAGGTTGCAGTGAGCTGAGATCGCGGCACTGCACTCCAGCCTGGGCGACAGAGTGAGACTCCATCTCAAAAAAACAAAACAGACAAACAAAAAAACGATGTGTGTCCCTTCATGTTCTGGATTGCCTTGCAAGTTTTGTGTGTGTGTGTGTGTGTGTGTGTGTGTGTGTGTTTAATTTTCTACTTTGTCTTGGATCTCATAGAGTTTCCCTGCAATCCATGCTTTGAATTATTTATCTGTCAGTTCCGAGTTTTCATTTTGATAAAGGACCATTGCTGAAGATCTAGTGTGATCCTTTTGTGGTGTCACTACATTTAGATTTTTTTATGATGCTTGAATTCTTTCAGTAGTTCCTTCTCATCTGGTGATGCTAGAACTTCTACATTTTGTTATTATTTTCAGAGGGTAGAATTGTTTTTTCATTCTTTAAAACTACAATATTGTTTATTTGTTTGTTTGTTTTCTTTTCCCTTTCCTTCCGTCCCTAGGGATTGTGATTACAGAGAATGTTGGGTAGGGTATTTCGGCTTTGTTTCTTAGCCCTATGCACTTCTTCAGCAGATTTTATATTGGGCTGTGAATTCTGACCTACAAGCCAGTAAATGGTGGTAATGTGGAGGAGCTGGATGTGGCCAATGCAGCTAGGTATATACTTGATTCTTACTTACTGGGAAAAGCTCTCTGTTGCCTCAAGGAACAAACTAATCTATGGAGTGCACAGTGGTCTGAGCTATCCTCTCAGCCCCATGGAATTAGAGGTCAAGATGGGTGGCGCTGGACTCAGCATGCCCACCTACATCTCCCCAGGTGGCAAACACAAGTACCATCACCAAGGGACAATCTTGATGGTGGCCTCCAAGCACCCAGAGGCCAAGCATCCATGCAGCTGGAAACCTTCTCAGCGCTAAATTCTGTGTCTGGGGAGGGTGGGTGGCCTATGCTCCCAATCCAGGAGAGTGTGTGCTCGATATGCCTAAAGATCTGCCATGGTGTGGAGCGTAGATGGCCTCACTGAACTGCATTTTTTTTGTTTTTCATGGGAATGGTGGAACAGCTCAGGCTGCTAAACCGGGTGAATGTATGCTCCAACTGCCTGAGATATGCCTGGGCATGGGACGTATAGGGCTTCACTTCACCATGGTCTCTGTACTGGAAACGTGGGTGAACTCAGCCTGCTGATTCAGGTGAGTGGGTGCTCCAAATACCTGGAGATATGACTGTGCATGGGGTGGAAAAGGTCATGCTTCACCACAATCTCTGCAAAAACAGGGTGTGAGTTCGGGCTACTGGTCCAGGTGACTAAGTGCTCTGAGTGCTTGGAGATATGTCTGGGTGTGTAGCAAAGAGGGCCCCACTGCACAATGATTTCTGTGCAGGATGAGTGGGACAGCTCAGGCTGCCAATCCAAATGGGCAGGTGTTTTGCATGCCTGGAGAAATGCCTGGGCATGGAACAGAGAGAACCTGGCTGCATCACGGACTCTTCCCAGGAAGGGTGGGCAACTGAGAGTGCTAAAAAAGGTGAGTGGGTGCTCCACTTGTCTGGAGATCTGCCTGGGCATGCAGTGGAGGAGACCCCAGTGCCCTCATATCTTTGCACAGAAAATATTGTGTGACTTAGGCTGTCAATCTGGACAAGCAGGTGCTCCAAATGCCTGGAGATATGCCTGGGTATGGAACAGAGAGGGGCCCTCCCTGCACCAGGATTCTGCACAGGAAGGATGTGGTGACTCACACTTCCGAATCAAGGAAGTGATCTAATTATGCTTTCATAATTGTCAATTTCTCCCTTGAATTCAGTCTACTTGCTTTATGACTTTGAATTTATGTTAGTATATACATACACTTTAAGGACTGTTTTGTCTTTTGGATGAATTGAAATTACTACCTTTATGAACTGACCATCTTTATCACTGATAATACAGTTTGTCTTTAAGTATATTCCAACTGATAATATCATCACTATAACCTATTCATTTATTAAAGTATTTATGTATTTTAGAGATTGATCTCCTTATGTTTCCTAGAGTGCAGTGACTATACAGAGGTGCAATCCCAGTACGGATCAGCATGGGAATTTTGACCCATTTTCAATCAATTTATTTTCAACTTATCTGTGAACATGCCTTATAGACAACACAGAGTTAGACGTTTACATTTATTCACTCAAAAAACTCTGCCATTAAATTAAATTATAATTTTATTTACTGGAACTATTGGTATGGTTAAAATCAGGTCTAGCAGTTTGCTGTTTTTTCTTTTGTGGCTGTTGTTTTTTCATTGTTACTTTATTCTTTATTTTCTGCATTATTTTGGGTTACATGAATAATTTATTAAAATGCAATTGAAATTATGTTGTATTAGTCTGTGCTCATGCTGCTAATAAAGACATACCAGAGACTGGGTAATTTATAAAGTAAAGTGATTTAATGAACTCACAGTTCCACATGGCCAGGGAGGCCTCACAACCATGGCAGAAGGCAAAGGATAAGCAAAGTCATGTCTTATATGGTGGCAGGCAAGACAGCTTGTGCAGGGGAAGTCCCATTTATAAAACAATCAAATCTCATAAGACTTACTCACTACCACAAGAACAATATGGGGGAAACCACCTCCATGATTCAATTATCTCCACCTGGCCCCACCTTTGACATGTGGGGATTATTACAGTTCAAGGTGATATTTGGGTGGGGACACAGCCAAACCATATCATATGTGTTAGCATTTAGCTATATCTCTGCATTCTATTATAAGGGTTGCTGTATAGATTACAATTTGCACCCTTAACTTTTCTCATTCTACTCAGTGGTATTACCTTATAATCTCACATAAGCTCCACAATCTTTGCAACTCTATGGGTCTATTGATTCTCCTCATATGTTATGCTCCCTTTTATATAGTACTTCAATAGTTATTAATCCCACAATAAAATGCTCTAATATTTGCATCAAATAAGCATTTGCATTAAAAATTATGTAATTAAAAAGCAATATATTTTATTTAACCTGGCATTCACTATTTTCATTTTCTTTTCAGTTTTCAGAGTATCCATGAGAGTATCCATATGATATCATTTTCTGTCTGTAGTAGTTGCCTAGGGGGTTTTAATAAATTACCATCATCTGCATGGCAAAAATAAATGTGTTTGTTTTCTCACAGTTCTGAATGCCAAAAGTCTAAAATCTGGTTGTCAGAAAAGTCAGTCTCCCCACAAAGCCTCTAGAAAAGAATTTTAAAGTGACTTTCCAATTAATGGACCCTAATTTATATCTAGATTTTTAGTTCCAAAGGACATTAAAAAATGTAGTTTTTAGCTTTCCAGTCTACAAAGTATACAAAGAAATCCAAGAAAGATGCTGGAATTGAGGCCGAGTGTGAATTCACCTTATCCCCCAGAAGAATTAATCTGAAATGGAAACAATGTGTAGTCTAATAGAAGAAATATATGATTGGGAGCCAGAAAGATTTTTATTTAGTTCTTTAATTAAAAAGTTAGTACCTTGGAAAATGTTAATTATATCTTCCTTTATAATTTATCTGTAAACTATAATTTTTAGACTACTTCACTATAATGATTTAAAGATAATATGTTAACAGATATGAAATATTACAATAAATAAAACCTACAATAATTAATTTTGTAAGACAAAATATTATTAATGGATTTGTAGTTTCTAATAACAATGAAGTGTAGCTCTACCTGTGATTATAGGAGTGTGCCACCATGCCTGGCTATTTTATTATTTTTATTTTTTGTAGAGACGAGGGTCTCACTTTGTTGTGCAGGATGGTCTCAAACTCCCGACCTCAAGTGATGCTTCTGCCTAGGCCTTCCAAAGTACTGGGATTATAGGTACTAGCCCTGCATTTGACCCTAAAAGTGTTAACTTATTTAAAGCATCAACTGAAAAGTCAAAAGTTCAAAGTCTCATCTGAGACGCAAAGACAGTTACTTGTACCTGTAAGTCTGTAAGATTTTTTTTTAAGTTTTTAATTTAAAAGATACAATGGTGGCATGGGCATTAGGTAAATATTTTCATTTAAAAAGCAGAAAATCAGTCAAACAAGAAGGGCAGTAGGCCCACAAGCAAGTCTGAAACCCAGCAGGGCAGACATTAAGGTGTGGGTTTTTTTTTTTTTTTTTTTTTTGAGATGGAATCTCGCTCTGTCACAGGCCAGAGTGCAGTGGCACGATCTTGGCTCACTGCAACCTCCGACTCCCTGGTTCAAGCAATTTTCCTGCCTCAGCCTCCTGAATAGCTGGAATTACAGGCACCTGCCACCACGCCCAGCTAACTTTTTGCATTTTTAGTAGAGACAGGGTTTCACCATTTTGGCCAGGATTGTCTCAATCTCCTGACCTCGTGATCCGCCCGCATGGCCTCCCAAAGTGCTGGGATTACACGCGTGAGCCACCGTGACTGGCCGACATTAAGTTTTAAAGCTTCAAAATCATCTCCCTTGTCTCCATTTCCCACATCCTGGGGACACAGGTGAGCTCCTGAGGCCTTGTCTAGCCATATCCCTATGGCTTTGCTGGGCACAGCCCACCTGGCTGCTCTCCAGGTTTGGAGTCAAATGTCTGCAGTTTTTCAAGCCTGAGGCTGTACACTGCCAGTAGTTGTACCATTCTTCAGTATGGGTGATGATCCTATGCCCACAGCTCCACTAGCCAGGGCCCTGGTGGAGAAACTTATGGGGCCTCCAAGCTCACACTTTTCCTCTTTGACAATGACTCAGTATAGGCTCTCTGCAGGGAATTTGCCCTTACTGCAGTCTTCTGCTTAGGCACCCAGGCTTTCCCACACATCCTCTGAAATCTGGGTGGACGCTACCAAGCCTCTGTGGCCCTTGCATTCTCTGTGCCTACAGGCTTAACACCATGTGGAAGCCGTCAGGGCTTATGGATTGTACCCTGTGAAGCAACAGCCCAAGCTGTGCCTAGGGCCCTTTAACAAGAGCAATGGAAATGTAGAGAGCAGCAGCCCAAAGCAGCACAAGGCAGTAGTGCTCTGAACCTAACTCCTGAAAGCAGTCTTTCTATTAGGCTTTTGGGCCTGTAATAAGAAGGGTTGCTTTCAACATTTCTGAAATGTCTTTGGAATTTTTTTTTCCTATTGTTCTTACTATTAGCACTTGACTCCTATTTAGTCATTTTATTCTCTCTAGCAAGTGGTTGCTCCACAGGCTTTCTTGCCTGAAAACAGTTTTTCCTTTTCTACCACATGGCCAGCCTGTGAATTTTTCAAATGTTTAGGCTCTGCTTCCATTTTAACTATTGTAAGTAACAACTTTGTTATTGCTTTGCTCCCATATCCAATCATAAGCTCTTAGAAGCAGCCACATCACTTTCATATACATATATATATATATCTTTTGCCAGATATCCTAAATTATCACTTTTAAGTTCAGCCTTCCACAGAGTCCTCAAACATGGACACAATGAAGGCGAATTCCTTTCTAGGGTATAACAACGGTAACCTTTGCTCCAGGTTCCAATAAATTTCTTATTTCCATCTGAGACCTTATCAGCCTGACCTTCACTACCCACATTTCTAGCACCATTGTGGTCACAACCAATTAAGCAGTCTCTAACAAGTTTCAAACTTTCTCTCATCTTTCTGGGTTTTTTTTTTTTTTTTTAAGTCCTCCAAACTCCTCCAACTTCTGCACATCACTAGTTCTAAATCCACCTCCACATTTTCAGGTATCTTTATAGCAATGTTCCACTCCTCAGTACAAATTATCTGTGTCAGTTCATTTTGTGTTGCTATAAAGGAATACCTGAGGCTTGATAATTTATAAAGAAGTTTATTTGCTTAATAGTTTTGCAGGTTGTACAAGAAGCATGGCATCATTGTCTGCTTCTGGTGAGGGCCTCAGGAAGCTTACAATCATGGTGGAAAGAGAAAAGATATCAACAGTGTCACTTGGTGAGAAAGGAGCAAGAAGTAGACAGGAGAGTGGTCCCAGACTCTTTTAACATCCAGATCTCCAGTGAACTAATAAAGAACTCACTCATTACCAAGGGGTTGGTAAGTACCAAGCCATTTATGAGGGATCTGCCCCCATTACCCAAACACCTCCCATTAGGCTCAGGGATCAAATTTGAAAATGAAATTTGGATATGTTATCCGACGTCAGGAATACAATTTTCACATGAGAGTTGGAAGGAAAAATATTCGAACTATATTAAAATTCATGCATAATTTTATGTAATATGCATTTTCATAAACTTTTTGAGGACCCTTCATGTGTGTGTGCATGAGTGAATGCACATGTATTCCAATATTTCCATTATTGTTTGTATAGTAATCACCAATGGGTCTATGAAGCTGTTATGTATCTGCATAACCTATTTAAAATTTGGAGGGTACATGAATTTGAAAGATCATAAATTAGAGGACTCTTTTGCTTTGACTCTATATAGTATACATAGATGATGGCATACAATGAATTTATTTATCCTGGAACTGCCCCAATTACCCACAGGAAGTGGTTGTTATTATATAAATAAGAGTAAAAGTTGCTGATATGACAACATTAAAAATGGGATTAAATAATGTATATTAGTAATAAAACACAGTGAAAGGTGAAATTTGACTTGGGATTCTTTTTGGGGGGCTGTGGAAAAAAATAGAACAAGATTATTGATGATTTCCAGAGGAGGACTCACAGCTTGAGCACAGTCTCTAGCCTTGTTTACAATTTCCACCGCTTTGCAGATTTTATCATCTTTTTATTTTGTGTTTTTGCTGCTTACATACTGACATAGTGTCACATATGACAAGCAAGTATGTCTAATGAAAAGAAAGTCCACATCCTTCACATAATATACAAAATTATGAAGAAACAAAGTACTTTGTTTCAAATGTCTTTATCCAATACCTTAGAATTTTCACTAACCAACTACCTCAGCTTCTCTTAGGAATTCAAAACAGTAATATTGTTACATCAACTATTGGCCATTAAATGGACACAAAATACACTGTAAATTTCCTTCGTGTCGTTTCCTTTCACTACATAGAAATTAAGTCTAATTGCATCTGTCTGGGTCTAACTTTGTGGTTCATTAAGACTTTTATCCACTAACATACAGACATACTTACACACATAAATACCCAACTGCTCTTTTGACCCCTTTTGTAAAGTCTGATTGACTTTATTTTGCACAGTCTTTGTTTTAAATGCAATGCAGTTGGACTCTAGTGTGTACTTCAGACTTACTCAAAATAGTAGACTTAAGACAACCTTAAAATGTTATATTAAAAAAATGCAGCATGAGTTGCAGAAAATTAAACAGAAGCACAATTAAAGTATAAACAGATTGCTTTTGAAATTATTATATACCTGCCATTACTGCATTTGGACTTATCAGATTGTATTTGATCTAGGGAGCAACATGTAAAATCATTTATGTTTATTATGCAATATGTGAGCAAGTAAAAATTGGATCCATATACTTGGCACTGAAAATTATATTTTATCATAGATTGCTGTGACCAAATAAGATAAGGACAACAGGTTTGCATTTTTAAACATCATTTGCTTAATTTATGAGTTTTATTTTCAAGCTCATGTCTCTATATTTAAAAATAATGAGTTTGTGCCAGGCTATGTCTGTGGAAGTGAATGGGGAGAAAAGAGGAAGGATACAAAGAACTCATTGAAACCATATGACAAAAAGGATTGGCTACAGTTGTAAGTCAGAAGTTACTTTCAAATTACTTTTTTCCATTGCTTGCAGAAACAACCTTAGCACATCTTGAGGAAATGATTTATAAGAGCTGATCATGATCCTGGTTGTGCCACTCTGAATCCAGTTTTGTTCAGAGACAAAGATATAAGACACCTAGAAATAGTTCTTGTCTTTAACGTTTTTTTTCTAGAGAATTTCTGCTCTCTCCCAGAGCTATATTGTTTCTGAATTCTATTTTTTGTAGGATGTTGAAGTAGTTTTGGAGAGAGAAGCAACGACATTTATCAAGGAAAAGGAAGAAGTCTTGCAGCCAATGTGTATCGAATGCTAAAAAGCCTGTTTTGTTATCACATAAAAAGTAAAGAGATTTGTTTAGGAAGTAGTATAAATTAATTCTCCAGATAAAAGTTGAAGAAAAACATCTATTCTCTTCACTCCATTTCTGTTCATAAAGCATATGTGGAGTTACCAAAATTTAGCTAAATCACTAAGTGACACAGAACTACTTGTATAATTATCATCAGCAAAAGACAATTATTGCCTCATCCTGTACCATACTCCACTGATAGAATATTCAGGCAAAATATGTGATATGCCTAAGATAATGACAATTGCAAATAGTGCATTTTAATTTTAGAAATCTGCAGTAGTGGCCGGGCGCGGTGGCTCACGCCTGTAATCCCAGCACTTTGGGAGGCCGAGGCGGGCGGATCACGAGGTCAGGAGATCGAGACCATCCCGGCTAAAACGGTGAAACCCCGTCTCTACTAAAAATACAAAAAATTAGCCGGGCGTAGTGGCGGGCGCCTGTAGTCCCAGCTACTTGGGAGGCTGAGGCAGGAGAATGGCGTGAACCCGGGAGGCGGAGCTTGCAGTGAGCCGAGATCCCGCCACTGCACTCCAGCCTGGGCGACAGAGCGAGACTCCGTCTCAAAAAAAAAAAAAAAAAAAAAAAAAGAAATCTGCAGTAGTTAGCAACTACACAAATGTCTTGAAAAGAAGAAATCAGAATAGTGTGGGATTATTCAAAAATGTAAAAAACATAAATCAAGCTACATAATGTAAAGAAAAGTGTTACTACAGGGTCCCATCAACAATATTTTACTTTTTCTACATCCACAAATGCTTAATGTATATTATTCTCAACTCTCTTCTACTAACTCAGGAATTCCCCAGGGGTTGTTTCATTTCTGTTACCTAATGAGGCCCTTTCCGCTTCCACATGCAAGATTTGTTCTTTCCTTTTCCTGGTATTGGTGGTACTGGATTTGTGTTCCTCTAAGCTTTACTGTAGCAACCTGATTCTAATGTTATGGCTATTTCACCCAAATTAAGGTACATAGCTTAATGTCTTGGGGGATGTGTTTAAAAGAGCTGCATTTGATTTTGGCCTTGTGTAAATTTGTCTTACCAGTTGTTAGGCCTCTTTCATTTTTTTCTGGCTATCTGATTAAGATATTGTTGTCCTCTCAGACCAACACTTTCGGTGGGTAACCATTTATTATTTTAAGCTATGATGTGTTTTGACAGTCATCTCAGTGAAGAAAGTTTGTTTCATAAACAAAAATTAATCACCTTTTCTGTATTATTTGCTTCTTAAGTTTCCCAACATATGTCTCTAAAAGGACTGGATTAAAACAAGGATAGTAGATAGACAGGTGAGTAGGTAGAGAGAGATAGATATATAGATGGATAGATAGGAGATAGACATAGAGATATAGATAGACTCTATTATATTCAAAATCACTGCTTAATTGCTTTATTCTAGGCTTAGGTGCTCTGGCTCTGTCTTTGATGTAAATAGTTTCTCATGAAGCTCTTTAGTTTTTTATAAAAATAAACTACTGGAAGAACTTCCTCACAAGATTTCTAGGAATATCATAACGAATCTGAATCCTTAGAGATTATATTTTTAGCTCACACTCTGTAGCCCTCACAACTAAATGTAGTAGCAGCAATAGACATGAGAAAAAAAGGAAGAAAATAAATATTAGATACAAAAATACCTAATAAAATAAAATAAGGAAAGTGAATCAATAGTGTAATTTGCTTAGGCCCCTTTTATAGTATTTAGTATGTTCACACAAGCTCATACGTGAAAGAGAACTAATGTGCTCACCTGCCCTTATCTAAAGCTTGTCTTTATTTCTTTATTCTATTACTTTTTTATTTCTGGACTAACAGTTCAATTCTGATGGCACAGTTTGAGTCCTAGTCTCTCTCTAGTGCCTATATTGAACCTTTGGTTTATGAATGTCTTATCACTCACTTTTGACAGTCCCTCCTGGATAGATTCCATCTATGAAGATGAGAGACACTTACCTTTCATGGTATGGTATGAGAGACACTTACCTCTAATACCCCCTCTGAGTCTCATGGGGCTCACATGTTCCAGGAAACCCTCTCATCTTGCCCCAAACCAACAGAAGGTGGAAATTAGAAGTATGCTGGAGAAATTATGAAAATAAAAGTAAATTGAAAAGTGTCAAAAAAAACCATTACATTTGGTTATGTAATCAAATAATATATGGCTCCCTATTGTTTGATATTTGGAAGCTAAGAAACTAAAGGAAAATCAGTTCAGAAAACTAACAAAAGGAAGAACAGGAAAATGGTGTAAAGTTTGTAAACCAACCTAATAAAATGGAGCAATCAGTCATATATTAACATCATGTAGGGTTACCAGATTTAGTACATAAACATACAAAATGCTCAGTTAAATTTAAATTTCAGATTAACAACATTTTTATTAAAAACGTATGGGGGCCAGGCACGGTGGCTCACGCCTGGAATCCCAGCACTTTGGGAGGCTGAGGCAGGCGGATTACGAGGTTAGGAGTTGGAGACCAGCCTGGCCAATGTGGTGAAACCCCATCTCTACTAAAAATGCAAAATTTAGCCAGGAGCAGTTGCGAGCCCCTGTAGCCCCAGCTACTCCGGAGGCTGAGGCAGAACAATTGCTTGAACCTGGGAGGCGGAGGTTGCAGTGACCCGAGATCGTGCCACTGCACTCCAGCCTGGGTGACAGAGACACTGTCTCAAAAAAAAAAAAAAAAAAAATCCCTAAACATATTGTGTCCGGAATTGGTGGGTTCTTGGTCTCACTGACTTCAAGAATGAAGCTGCGGACCCTTGCGGTGAGTGTTACAGTTCTTAAAGGCGGCGTGTCTGGAGTTTGTTCCTTCCGATGTTCGGATACGTTCGGAGTTTCTTCCTTTTGGTGGGTTCGTGGTCTCGCTGGCTCAGGAGTGAAGCTGCAGACCTTCGCCGTGAGTGTTAGAGCTCTTAAGGCGGCGCGTCTGGAGTTGTTCGGTCCTTCTGGTGTGTTCGTGGTCTCGCTGGCTCCAGGAGTGAAGCTGTAGACCTTCACGATGAGTGTTACAGCTCATAAAAGCAGTGTGGACCCAAAGAGTGAGCAGCAGCAAGATTTATTGCAAAGAGTGAAAGAACAAAGCTTCCACAACGTGGAAGGGGAGCCCAGCGTATTGCCACTGCTGGCTCCCCAGCCTGCTTTTATTCTCTTATCTGGCCCCACCCACATCCTGCTGATTGGTCCATTTTACAGAGAGCTGAGTGGTCTGTTTTGAGAGGGTGCTGATTGGTGTGTTTACAATCCCTGAGCTAGACACAAAGGTTCTCCACATCCCCACTAGATTAGCTAGATACAGAGTGTGACACAAAGGTTCTCCAAGTCCCCACCAGAGTAGCTAGATACAGAGTGTCGATTGGTGCATTCACAAACCCTGAGCTAGACACAGGGTGCTGATTGGTGTGTTTACAAACCTTGAGCTAGATAGAGAGTGCCCATTGGTGTATTTACAATCCCCTAGCTAGACATAATGGTTCTCCAAGTCCCCACCAGAGTCAGGAGCCCAGCTGGCTTCACCCAGTGGATCCTGCACTAGGCCGCAGGTGGAGCTGCCTGCCAGTCCCGCCGTGTGCCCGCACTCCTCAGCCCTTGGGTGGTCAGTGGGACTGTGCGCTGTGGAGCAGGGAGCAGCGCTCGTGGGGGAGGCTGGGGCTGCACAGGAGCCCACAGAGGAGGGGGAGGCTCAAGCATGGAGGGCTGCAGGTCCCAAGCCCTGCCCCTTGGGGAGGCAGCTAAGGCCCTGCGAGAAATTGAGCACAGCAGCTGCTGGCCCAGGTGCTAAGCCCCTCACTGCCCGGGGCTTGCAGGCCAGCCGGCCGCTCTGAGTGCGGGTCCCCTGAGCCCACGCCCACCCGGAACTCGTGCTGGCCTGTAAGCGTAGTGCACAGCCCTGATTCCCGCCGGAGCCTCTCCCTCCACACCTCCCTGCAAGCTGAGGGAGCTGGCTCCGGCTTTGGGCAGCCCAGAAAGGGGCTCCCACATTGCAGTGGGGGGCTGAAGGGCTCCTCAAGCGCGGCCAGAGTGGCCGCCAAGGCCGAGGAGGCGCCGAGAGTGAGCGAGGGCTGCGAGAGCTGCCAGCATGTTGTCACCTCTCAATATGTTATCATATTTGGTACATATTTATACTAAAAAAGTATTGTTTATAAGAAATTCAAATTTTACTGGTGTCTTGTATTACATCTGGCAATCCTGTCTTCACACTGTTTCAATATTGGGAATATTGCATATAGTTAGGATTTTGTGTGTGATACGGCAAGAGTTATAAACTCATGGGTGTTCCCAGCCTTAACTCTTTGCCTGCCATCTAAAGAAGATTTTGAATTTGCCATTTCAGTTATTCCCTCCCCCTACAGTCTGAAGAGGGTTCTAGGTTGCTAGGTTTCCATGTTTTGTGGGCATTGTGATGCAGAGTCAAAAGAACTGTGAAACAGGAGTAAGTGGAGAGGTAGAGGGCAGAAGAAAAGGGGTCAAGAAGGCAGGACCCCGTGAAGCACACCTTTCCTAAGGATTTTGACGAATGAGAATGAAGATAAACTGTGAGTTGAAAGTGAAAGAGAAAGCATAAGGGATCTTAGTAAGTGCTTCTTAGCTTGTGTATCCATTTTAGAATATACGTAAGAAATTATTTTAAAGTTAGCTTTGGTTTCTTGATTTATCATTTGTTGATGTAGATCTTATTCTGAGAGTTGTCGCTCTGGGTCAGGGATTTAATATGTTCACATATGTTTGATATGAACATATGCAGAAAAGTTCCTGGTTTCATTTGTCACAACATTTTGAGTGATGCAATCATTTTAAAGTAAAACTAACAAATTTGAAAGAAACAGAAGATAAGGTCCCTCAATTGAAGAAATTAGGATATGGTGGGGATTTCTGGCCAGTCATGAGTGCATGGGAATCAGAAGGCATATGTTAGTTGAAGCTCTTTCATCTGAGGTGAAGTGAACTTGTATATTGGAGGGGTTTGTCAGCAGGGAAAGATGGGACATTTACATAAAGAAGTCTGATTGAGCTGATGAGTCATTAATGTAATTTAGTGTAAAATATTTAAAGTTTTGTTAGAAGTAATGCATGTCTTTCTCCAGAGCATGTGGGCATTGGAGGATACAGTATAAATAGAATACAAATAAACTACTTTCAATATAAAGGATAATCAAAACTGATTTAGAAAGATTCAAAACAGTCAGGTTCTTTTAAAACTCCATATGTATCTTTTGATTCTCAACAGGTCATTATGTAAAAATCTTGGTCAGAAGAGAATATTTGAAAACACAACCCTGGTATTTAGAATAAAGTGTAATATTGTGCTTCTTCAGGGCCCTGATTATCAACTCAAATGTCATTTATTTTAAGGATTTTAAACATTATAATTTTAAAAGCTATCAGGCATATACATCTACATTTATCTTTGTGGAAAAAATGATTTTGGTTTTCTGTATAACAAACAGTGAAATGTTGTGTGTGTGTGTGTGTATACATACACTGAAGCATTTTGGTTTATTTTTAATATATATTAAAATTTATATTTAATGTATATATATTTTTAGTGTTTATATTTAATACATATATTTATAATGCTCTATGTAAGTGAAGTATAGAACACTAAATACTTTAAAAATACCAGAAAACAGAAGAAAACAGCAGACTCGGTGGTAAACACAGTCATTTGGCTGAGTTATTTAAAAAAAAAGATTAAATAAGAAAGACATATGATTGTTGACTATTTCCAAACATATGTCCAAACATTAAATAATAAATATTGAGAGGTTTAACAGAATACATATAGCCTTCTTGTGCAATTCCAGGGAACGTTTAATTTTTAATGAGTAATAATAAACTTAAGTACATAGTTTTGTGATGTAATTACATTTCAGAGGGCAATACGCCTTTAGATATCACATATTATGTTTATTGAAAAACCAGTCTTAACATAGTTGAGTGACATAAATATATGTGATAAATATACTAGTATATTCACAATGAACACTGGATATTTCTTTTGTGTGTGTGTGTGTGTGTGTGTGTGTATTTACATATGTATTTTTTTCTTTTTTTTTTGTCTCACATACTTATCTTTATTTTTTGTAGTGAGAACACTTAAAATCTACCCTTTTAGCAATTTTCTTTTTTTTTAAATTTTATTATTATTATACTTTAAGTTTTAGGGTACATGTGCACAACATAAAGTTTTGTTACATATGTATGCATGTGCCATGTTGGTGTGCTGCACCCATTAACTCGTCATTTAGCATTAGGTATATCTCCTAATGCTATCCCTCCCCCCTCCCCCCACCCCACAACAGTCCCCGGTGTGTGATGTTCCCCTTCCTAACACTGGATATTTCTTATATACAAACCTATTTCAGAATGTAGAAGGGAACAATGAATCTCATAGTTATCCTGAATGTGCAAGTGGAAGACCCTACCAAACAGCAGAGCAGCATAGATGCTTTTCTTGGGGGAAGAAGGTGCAGGAGCTATTTTTTCCTTTCTTTTATGAAAATATCTTTATTTGTTTTCAGGGTGCATCTGACAAGCCTTAGATGACCTCCAGCAACTTCAGTTCTCACCGAATTACTGCATTTCAGCCTTACTGAGAAGCAGCCAGTCATACTATCCTCAAATTTTGTGAGTTCAATTTACTTTATTTAGAAAGTCTCTAAAATGTAGACTCTGTCTATTGTTTTACCTTGATGCTAACTGCTGATGCTGAGATGTTTATGTAGAGAGATTTTCCAATTGCCAATATTAAAAACATAAAACTCAGCAAAGCTTAGCAAGGACCCAAAAATATGCCTGTGAAATGATCAGAGTGTGTGAGGACTCTGAAGAAGAAAGTAAAGCAAAAGTATACTAGAGAATGGAGATTGAGAAATACATATATTTAAATGTTAGAGTTTTACAATGCACGTACAAAAAAACATAAGTAAAATAAAGATAAATAAAGCAGGATAAGAAAGTATCACATAGTAACAGAAGCAAAAGAATGAAATACTTAAAAGTTGGTGGAAATGAAAAGTATACTACTCCATGACTTAGAAACAGCACAAGACAAAGATACGAGATAAACTTCAATTGTGATCACTATTATTGGTGTATAGGAATGCTTGTGATTTTTGCACACTGATTTTGTATCCTGAGACTTTGCTGAAGTTGCTTATCAGCTTAAGGAGATTTTGAGCTGAGACGATGGAGTTTTCTAAATATACAATCATGTCATCTGCAAACAGAGGCAATTTGACTTCCTCTGTTCTTATTTGAATGCCCTTTCTTTCTCTCGCCTGATTGCCCTGGCCAGAACTTCCAATGCTATTTTGAATGGGAGTGGTGAGAGAGGGCATCCTTGTCTTGTGGCAGTTTTCAAAGGGAATGCTTTCAGTTTTTGCCCATTCAGTATTATATTGGCTGTGGGTTTGTCATAAATAGCTCTTACTATTTTGAGATACGTTTCATCGATACCTAGTCTATTGAGAGTTTTTAGCATGAAGGGGTGTTGAATTTTGTCAAAGGCCTTTTCTGCATCTATTGAGATAATCATGTGTTTTTTGTCATTGGTTCTGTTTATATGATGGATTATGTTTACTGATTTGCGTATGTTGAACCAGCCTTGCATCCCAGGGATGAAGCTGACTTGATCATGGTGGATAAGCTTTTTGATGTGCTGCTGGATTTGGTTTGCCAGTATTTTATTGAGGATTTTTGTATCGATGTTCATCAGGGATATCGGCCTGAAATTCTCTTTTTCTGTTGTGTCTCTGCCAGGTTTTGGTATCAGGATGATGCTGGCCTCATAAAATGAGTTAGGGAGGAGTCCCTCTCTTTCTATTGTTAAAATAGTTTCAGAAAGAATGGTACCAGCTCCTCTTTTGTACGTCTGGTAGAATTTGGTTGTGAATCTGTCTGGTCCTGGACTTTTTTTGGTTGGCAGGCTATTAATTACTGCCTCAATTTAAGAACTTGTTATTGGTCTGTTCACGGATTCGACTTCTTCCTGGTTTAGACTTGGGAGGGTGTATGTGTCCAGGAATGTATCCATTTCTTCTAGATCTTCTAGTTTAATTGTGTAGAGGTGTTTATAGTATTCTCTGGTAGTAGTTTGTATTTCTGTGGGATCAGTGGTGATATCCCCTTTATCACTTTTTATTGCATCTATTGGATTCTTTTCCTTTTCTTCTTTATTAGTCTGGCTAGCGGTCTATCTATTTTGTTGATCTTTTCAAAAAAACAGCTCCTAAATTCATTGATTTCTGAAGGGTTTTTTGTCTCTGTCTCCTTCAGTTCTGCTCTGATCTTAGCTATTACTTGTCTTCTGCTAGCTTTTGAATTTGTTTGCCCTTGCTTCTCTAATTCTTTTAATCGTGAGGTTAGGGTGCCGATTTTAGATATTTCCTGCTTTCTCTTGTGGGCATTTAGTGCTATAAACTTCCCTCTAAACACTGCTTTAGCTGTGTCCCAGAGATTCTGGTTTGTTGTGACTTTGTTCTCATTGGTTTCAAAGAACTTATTTATTTCTGCCTTCATTTCGTTATTTACCCAGTAGTCATTCAGGAGCAGGTTGTTCAGTTTCCATGTAGTTGTGCAGTTTTAGTGTTTCTTAATCTTGGGTTCTAATTTGATTGCACTGTGGTCTGAGAGACTGTTTATTATGATTTCCTTTCTTTTGCATTTGCTGAGGAGTGTTTTACTTACAATTATGTGTTCAATTTTAGAATAAGTGCGATGTGGTGCTGAGAAGAATGTATATTCTGTTGATTTGGGGTGGAGAGCTCTGTTCATGTCTGTTAGGTCCAGAGCTGAGTTCAAGTCCTGAATATCCTTGTTAATTTTCTGTCTCATTGATCTGTCTAATATTGACAGTGGGGTCACTACCTCCAATAAAAGATATAACGTTTGATAGAAAAATAGTCACCCTTGAATTAATATCAAACTCTGAAAAAAATAATTGAAGATTAAATTGAAGGGAATAATGAGCATGAGATAATAAAAGCTCAGCAGTATTGGAACAGAGAAAGCATGTTGAGTGAATAGAGGAAAAAGTTGGTTAGGGGAGATGGAGTCAGATTGTGGAGGGTCTCTGAAGACTGCAGTTATGAGATAAGGTTCCACATAATTCTACATCAATTCTACATCTTTAAATCCTGCTAACTTATCCATAAATCCTGCCTATGTTAGCTCATAAAAACTAGCCATGAGAATAAAAACCATGTTAGTCAATTTCTCAAACTCCACCACTCCACCAGATTTCTTTTCAGCCCACTTGCATTCGCCTTTCTCCACCATGGAATTCAGTAAGAATGTTCCCTGCCCATAATCCTGCTCTGAAGAAATTTCTCAAGTTGATTGTTCAAAGTCCTCTCATAGAGTAGAAGTGGAAGCATAGAGTTCAGAGTATTAGGGTACACTGAAAGTGTTTGAGCGGGTAAAAGACATAAGGAAAGTAAAAGGTAAGAGGAGAGGGGTGACAGGAGAGTGGTGAGTGTAGAGTTTGCCATCAGTGAAATCTGCCACTATAAGTAGTAAAGCAAGCATGAGGTAATTTTCAGCTTGACTAGTGCTGAGGCATTGAGAATGAACAGAAAGTGGTGAATTTGGAAGACATTTTAATAAATGAACTCAGAATTTGAATTTCATTCATCAGCTTCCTACTTTCTTATCTACCCTACTTTCCCTTCTCACGATTCACAATTGCACCTCTTTGTACAGACATTACTTTTATTTTATTTATCCATTTTATTTATTTATTTATTTATTTATTTATTTATTTATTTAAAGATGGAGTCTTGCTCTGTCATCCAGGCAGGAGTGCAATGGCACGATCTCGGCTCACTGCAACCTCTGCCTCCTGGGTTCCAGCGATTCTCCTGTCTCAGTCTCCCAAGTAGCTAGGACTACAGGCGCCCACCATTATGCCCAGCTAATTTTTGTATTTTTTGTAGAGACAGGGTTTCACCAGGTTGGTCAGGCTGGTCTTGAAGTTTTGACCTCAGGTGATCCGCCCGCCTCAGCCTCCCAAAGTGCTGGGATTACAGGCATGGGACACCGCGCTTGGCCTAGACATTACTTTTAAAAACGTAGGTTTTTAAGAAAAGTAAAAATTACAGGGGAAGAACGGCTTGTACCTTATACAAATTCAACCATATCATTTTCACATAGGTCTTAATTTTCTTTTAAACATATACACTCATAATACCTTCCTCCTATTTTAGCCCCATTTTAAATTCTCAGGTGGGTAATACAGATCCATCTTATTCAATGAAAATTATTTATAATTCACCATCCAAAAGGAAATAATTGGGCCTTCTCTTCAGAACTAAATGTGTTCTAGTGCATAGGGTATATACCTAAAATAGCCAAATGAGAGGTTATGTTATTCCAAGTTTACTGAAATTCCATAATTAAGTTATGAGAAAACATATTTAATAGGAGGCTTACATTTGCCCTCAGTTTTCACTTTATTCTGTGGGTTTGTGACTCTGATACAATATTTATAGTTGCGAGAAGGCACAGAAATAGCACATTCACAGGCTTTTTGCCATGACCAAAGAATTGACTTCTTATAAAATGGAACATACATAAATTTAGTAAATCTTTGTCTTCTTTCCCATAAATAGAACCCAGGATGAGTTATCCTACTAAAGAAGGAAGTGATACAGCTGGAAATGCTCACAAAAATTCTGAAAATGAGCCTCCTAATGACTGTAGTACAGACATAGAGTCTCCATCTGCTGATCCCAATATGATCTATCAGGTAGAAACCAACCCAATAAACAGGGAGCCAGGCACAGCAACCTCCCAGGAAGATGTTGTTCCTCAAGCAGCAGAAAACAGCGAGCTCGAAACAGAGATCCAAAAAGATCAACGAGAAGAAGATCTAAAAGAAGAGCTTCTTCTACTTCAGACCCCCATTCCCAGAAAATTGGTCTCTCACAAGCCCTTAAATGATAGATCAAGATCCCACTCAGGGAAAGTTGAGATGAAAGCAAACAATTTCCCCATAAATCACAAAACTCGTTTTCGACTTTCAACTTCATGGAGAGTCCCATTTATTAACAGTCATGAGATAAGAAGTATGATTCTCCATCTGCTATGTGATAGATATTTCTCTCAGGCTGCAGGGTGTCAGAATACCATGTGGGTAAAGCGAAAATATATAGCATGTCTTTACCATCCAAATAGTTTCACCCATCACGAGAGAGCCATAACATTTAGAAGGCCTTCGAGGGTGCACTACTACCGTCCCCTCACTGAGAGAATGACATCAGGAAAATTTTGCAAATCAACTGACACTAAAGGGAAATGTAGATTCCGTGCTATTGTGAGGTCTGTGCTCTTTGTGTCACAGATACAAATTGAAAGTATTTTTAATATAAAAGGTTTTGTGGATATATTGACATATATCCATACCATGAATGTTATGATCACAAACACCAATAATGGTTGGAAATACTTTTGTCCCATCTGTGGAAGGCTTTTTAACACTTACTCTGAATTAAGACAACATTCATGCAGCTCTTCTGGGAATTAAATTAAATTGGGGTAAATTCATTTTAAAATATAACTTCTAAAATTCATAATTTGACTACTAAAGTAAGACAAAATTGCATGAACATAAATTTTAGTATTATTAGAGGGAGTAGCAGAAAGGAACACAAACTAATAGTACCTCTCAGTAAGAAATACCTATGGGGAGTGAGGAAACATCTGTTTATACTTTGCTTTTACAAGTACATCATTGAAATATCAGACCTGTCATCTATATTGAGTCAGCATTTGAACCAAGTAAATGTTTTCACTGTCTTAACATCTATTTCTGTAGATGTAAATATTGTTAACATAAAAGAATCCAAGTTAACAGGATCCTGACTAAGATAGCAAACATATATTGGAAGGCCAGACAAAGTTCTACCAAGTGTTTCCAGAGATTCTGCTACATGTATTATCTGAAATGTTCTCCATATATTCAATAAAAACCAATTTGAAGACATAGAAAGTTGTATTGTATATTTGTAATTAGAGAAGAATTCCTATGTCTGGAATAAAAAGATTCAACATACTATAAAATACACAATACTTGGGTAATTTTGAAGATACAGAATAATAACAAAACTCATAAAAAAGTATATGATAGAAGTGAAACAGTTTGAAGTAAAAGTGAACAAATATTAAATTGATACCATATAACTGTAAACCTTTTTGCTTGTATAGCACATTCACCATTGTTCACAATCACTACACAAAGTTTACCTTCCCCTCCATACATACATGCACAAATGTGTGCACATATTTAAGACGTTCCTTATCTTGTTCTTGCAGCTCAAACATCTATACTTCTTTTATTTAATCTGCATACTCATTAAAGTTAGAGTCTATAACTACACCTCATATTTTTTACCATCTTATATTTAATATATAATGAATATAGGAATATAATATGTAATATGTATGCAGTGCATGTATTTTATATAATATGTATGTGTTATATAATTTATACTTTGAGTACCCATTATATGTGAAGCACTATGCCAGCATAATTTTATGTGTTAGTTAATCTTTGCAACAATCTAAAATTTTTTAATTTTCATGGCATGATTAAATGTATGGAAGCAGTTTCTAGAAAATTGAATGACTTTACCAGGTCACAGAGTAAATGCATGCTATTGTCACTGCATGTTATAACTGGAATTGAATAGGAAACTTTTTGCACATTATGCCTTATTTAATATGTATGTACTTATATTTGAAATAGCATATAGAATTTATTTCATCCATGGATATACTGTATTATAGAAATTCTAAACTTGAAGCAGAGGATACTTAAGCTACATCTACAACAGGTCAAATTTGTTCATCTGGAGGAAAATTTGATGCTTCCAGATACAATTATTCAGTGTGAGCAATGGATTGGATTAAACAGTTAAACAAAGACAATTCAAAAAACTGAATATTTCTCCATTAAAAAATATATTCTATATTAATTTTTATCTCATTTTCTTTTGAATATAAAAGATAATTTTACAAAAACATAAGCCATCAGGTAGAAACTAACAAAAATAAAAAAGAAACATTCTTCTTTTTTTCACTTTTCCTAACTAGGGATGAAATAAAAATAGTACTTGTTATTAAAAAAAAACGGGTTTTATCACTGACATATTACCATCCATAGAATCAATATATTTGCTGGTAAACCTCCACAGAATTTGAAAACATAATTTGAATGCAGAAAAATAGTTAAACTTGATAGTATTTACATTTTCACTTTTTTTCCCAAAATACAAAGACATCTATTTAGCTAAAACTTTAGAAATGACATATTAAAATTAGAATTGAGTCAGAATGGAGAAATTAGAAAAATGTAAACGAAACAATCCTAGATTTATCCTTCTCTAGCAACCCACTTGAAAGATTTTCATAAGTACCAAAGTAGGGGAACCATGCTTTTACTTAAAAAAAACATGAATAATTCAGTCCAATGTTCAAAAAAATAAAGTGTTCTATTTTTTACTTTATTTATTCATTTTTTTTTTCTGAGACAGAGTCTCGCTGTGTCGCCACCCAGGCTGGAGTGCAGTGGCACAATCTCGGCTCACTGCAACCTTCACCTCCTGGGTTCCAGTGATTCTCCTGCCTCAGCCTCCTGAGTAGCTGGGATTACAGGTGGGTGCGACTACGCCCATCTAATTTTTGTATTTTTATTAGAGACGGGGTTTCACTATCTTGGCCAGACTGGTCTCAAACTCCTGTCCTCAAGTGATCCACCCACCTCTGCTTCCCAAAGTGCTGGGATGACAGGCATGAGCCACAGCGCCTGGCTCTGTGTTCTCTTGTTCTTTAATTTACAAATCAACTCAACACTTTATAGATATCCTTATTTTTTCTTAAAGATGTAGGAACAAGCATGTATATTTATGGTTATATTAATAATTTTCATAATTCACATAATTTTTTAATAAAATATGGGTATAAGATACTTTCTTTACTTCATATTTACATAGTAACTAGCATCTAAAATATTAGCTTACTTTTAACATGACAATGACTAGAAAATGATATACTCAACACAGAGTAGAATACATTTTTTAGAGGAAATAAATTATAGAACCCTGAAGATGGCAGCCTATTACTATTTTAATGTTCTCAATTTTTTACTAGTTTAAAATTATATTTCAAAAGTTTATCTTATAACAAAGTTTTTTTTGGTTTGCCTCCTAGCATTTCAGTGTCATCAGTGCATTGAATATCTCCTCATAAATTATGTTTTAGACATATTTAGCCAGAACAATTTCAGGTTTATGGAAAAATCAGACTGCCTCACATGTGTGATAGTAATTTTATTCTGGCTTATACAAGGTACCTTAAAAGTTAAATTGAAAGCATGAAAAGCATTGAGGGAAATTTTCTAAAATTATGATAAAAAAGTGAATTCCCAAACAATATTGGATTTTATTCTCACTCTTAAGGGGCCTACTTATTGTTTGATACCATTAGTTTTACATAGAGCCAATCTTGGATAATTTAATCAATAGAAATAAAGGGGCAGATAGAGTAAGTGTCTATGATGTGTGAATTTTGGATTCCTTGTTGCATCAGGGTTTGGGATAGAAGCCCAGAAACTGTGGACTTATGCACTAAGAATCCAGTACTATAGTTATTCATATTCTATAAAACAGACTTTAATTATAATTAGACCTCTATTATTTAGTGTTCAAGTATAATATGCATCAATATACTAAAATAAAGTTAGTCTGTAGTTATTTGCTCAATTGTCTATTTGAAATAAAAACTATTTATTTATTTAGATCAGTATATTAAATCAACCCATACATTTTATTAAAACGTTTGAATAGTATGATGCTAAAAACTAATATTAATTTTATAAAACTTTCTTTTTTGAAACAGTAAAACTTGAGTAACCAGGCATTTATAATTTATTGCATCTAGTACCCAGCTAGGAAATAAGAACGAGTTATTATGCACTAAAGTGATGATTAGGGTTATCTACGGATTTGATAAAGGATTATTTACTCTTCTTGTTCTTGCTGTATTCTAATTATCTGGGTTCAGGAAGAGGAAAGGAAACATCAGCCTAAACATGGTTCAGATATGAAAATCTTCAACTTTTCTAAGACTCATTATAGCCCACGCTAGTGAATAGGTAGGTAGTTAGAGAAAATTTGTCATGTTGTTGCTACATGTCTTGTGAAGAGACACTGACAGCTGTTGTTCCAGTCTTTTAATGGGTATTTGTATAGCAAACAACCTTGGAAGCTGGAGATACTGTCTCCCTGCTGGACCCAAGGGCAGAGGATAGATTTCTTTCCTAACCAGTATAATAAAGATGATGTCTCCTTCAAGGGCAAAGGTTGGGCAAGTTTGCAAGCAGCCCTCTTACATGATTGATAGTTTCCTAAACTCTAGGTTCCTTGTGTGTGACACGAACTCACTGTGTGTAGTATTTACCTGTGCCACTCTGCATTACCCTTGTGTGACTTGAAGAGCAAGAGAAATCAATGCAAATATGAAGGTCATGCTGCCTTCTCTGCCCCTTGAGTAATAAAGTCCTTTCTCTCTGACCCAGGTGCCCCATGTCTTTTGCCAGTATCTATGAAACTGCAGCAAGTTAACTTGTTAGCTTACAAGCAGGATAAAATGTCAAACCTGTCACCATTCTTGATATCTGAAAGAGAGCTGGGTGAATAAAATTCCATTAAACAATTTTTATTATTTTTTACTAAATGACACTTTCTATTATTTCAATAGACTCAAACTACACCATCTTTTGAGAGCTTAACATTATTAGCTGGGATAAAGTATTTGTGTGAATGTCTAAGCACACAGCTTAATGAAAGAAATACTGGGATAATTTTGAAATTTCTCATTCTCATCTTCATGAAAGAGCCAGATGAAAGAGCCACTTCTGTGAATGGAGGAAGTTACATATCATTATCTTGCTTCTGAATCTGTGCTTATAGAATATAAACACAATAACCTTCACTAACTTATTATGAGAAAACTTTACCTTCTGCTAGATATTCTCATGATAACACTCACTCCTTCTTAGTAACACCTAGAAGTACCTGGCAGTCAGAATAAGAATGACACAAAAATAAAAGCAAGCAAGTGACTTGCATAATTTAACTGAGAGACACTAGGCTACTTATTAATTAATAGAGAGTAGAGAAAATTAGAAGTTAAATATTGATATGTAAGTTACTAAAAGATTTAAAAACATTTGGAATTACATGGCATTTTGGATCTTTAAGCATTTGGCTGTTTGTCCTTTCAGAGTTATTCCTGATATTTTACTGTATTTTTTTCAATAAAGATGCTATAACTTAAAATATCATTGCACAGATAACATAAAACATATGCACTATGTGAAAATTTGAAACTGTACTTATGCTACAAACATTTTTAAATGACTTCACTTAGAGGGTGACTATATCAACAGACAGTATGAAGTAACAACAACAAATACATATTCTCAATATATTCTTCATAGAGTAGTTATGCTGTTGAATAATCTATAGAATCTAGTCTTTATTATAAATACATATTTGTCCAGGGAAATGTAACATGAATCATTCATTTGTCCAAATATGTATTTGATATATTTATATATCTATGTGTGTGTATATATGTATGTACACATACATATGTACACATACATATGTACACATATATATGTACACATACATATATATATATATATAGAAAGAGAGAATTAAACATATATATTTGCTTTGTCTCAGACTCTGAGACAATTGATGATATTAAAACAAACCACACAGAAATAGGCACGGTGACTCCTGTCTGTAATCTCAGCACTTTGGGAGGCTGACAGGAGCATCATTTAAGCCCACGAGTTTGAGACCAGCATGGGCACCATAGTAAGATACAAAATAAAAATAAAAATGAGCACCAGAGTGAGACACAAAAATAAAAATGAGCACCAGAGTGAGACACAAAAATAAAAATATTATCTAGGGGTGGTGGCACATGCCTGTGGTCCCAGCTACTCAGAAGGCTGAGGTGGGAGGACCCCTTGATCCCAGGAGGTTAAGGCTGCAGTGAACTGTAATTGTGCCACTGCCCTCCAGCCTGGGCAACAGAGTAAGACCCCATCTCAAAAAAAAAATATCATGAAGGAAATTTTCAAAAAAATCTGGTAATCAAAAGAAAAATGAGGACATGGTTTTGTAGTGGATATTATGATATGCTAATCAGATACTCTTCTTAAAAATTGAGACCCTCATTGCCCAAACATCAAGGATTTCTGCCTTCTGAATACAGTGTAATCCCTAGTAATTGCTTTGAACCAAGGGAACTGTCACTCACAAGGTTACATTTCTTTCCATGGCTGGCACACCTCCAATTACTGGCCAATGATAGGGTAAAAAACTTGGCCACCTTGCCTCATTTTAGAACATCTCTGAAGTGCCACCCCAACTCCAGCCCCCACACCCGAAATTATCTGAAGACTTTTAAGTACTTTATGTTCAAACTCCCCCTATGAGTAATCCTGCTTCTTTCATACTCACAGTTGTTCTTGCCCATGGCATTTCCCTTTCCTCAAGTCATACTGAACATAAGTCTCTACTCAGAGTCTTTTTCCTAGTGAAACTGATCTAAGACAATTTGTAACAAAGAAAACAGGTAAGAACAATTAACAGAGACAGACAGAAATAATAGGACCTAATGTCAATGTCATTAGCTTGAATGTTATTAAGAGGCATAGACAGTTGTTTTAATAAGAGTAAATCACCTGGGAAATCTGTGTTGAATGAAGCAGAAGAGGGAAATCAATATTCACTAACTTTAAACATCATAGCTACAAGATAAAAAAAATTTAAGCTATCACAGGTTTTTCTAGATGTCACTAAAGACTATTTCAGACTGAGCCTTTTGTTCTTATTTGCTTATATAATAGTGCATCCTTTATACTTGGAACACATTTAGAAAATCATATATTATATATCTGGATAGATATACACAACAGTGCGTATTTCCCAAGTACACTACATTAGAACAACTTGGGTATCAGGGAATGTATATCAGATTCACTGATCCTCACAAGAAAGAAGAAATAACAGAAAGTTCATCCTCACAAAATTTCCCTCCCAGAAATTATTCTCTACATCCTTCATCCATGTTAGGTTTGAAACTGGACAGACTTTCTAGCCATTTAAAAATTACACATGATACTGTTTCTTCATCTTTTTCTCACTCTTTTTTTCTTATCTATATTGTATCTCTTTCCTGAAAATGAGCTACAAATAAAGAGTACCCTAAAAATCCCCCAGCTTTGTGGAGGAAATGGCAGATGTAACTTGAAGCTTCAATTTTCTAGTTGTATACATGTAATTCTAATATATTTAATTATTACATCTAAAATTTAGAAGGAAAAGTAATTAGCTTTACTGAGTCTCTGATAAATGTATAACTCTGTCAGGCACTTTAAAAAATAGTATTTGCCAAATTCAGTGAATTGCGTTTACCACCCAAGACATCTGCCATATCCAAGTAACACTTGCATTATGTACATAATGATTTTATCTAAATTGACTTTTTAAAATTAAATAAATGTACAACGGACATCAGTGGATAAAAATTATATATGTGTATATATAGTCTAAATTATATATTTGTATATATAATCATATATATATATATAGTAGATAGGACAATGGCCTCTGAAAAAAGAGTAGCACTCAAAGTTTGAAAGTAGTGACTAGCAACTTCAGGGATGGCAAGATATCTGGGTATTGACATGCTGATCCACAAATTTAGGAGCCAAGATCAATAGTCAGCAAGAAAAGGGTACAAACATGGGTGCCTACATGAACCTGTGATATACTACAAATTATACAGCAAAAGGAAATTCCAGATTAAGAGGAAAAATATTGCCGGAGGGTAGATGCATAAATTGATAGAAGGGAAGAGATTGGGCATCTGCAACTGACACAGTCTTATAAGAGTATTACAGAGAGAGGTTTTACTTATTATACAATAAGGTTACATGTAAAGAAAAAGTAGGGGCTATGTGAAATGGGAGGACATTAGGAAGGTATGTATGGGTTGAAGTTGAGAGATAAAGAGTGAGTAACAGTACAGGTCTATGGACTAAGATAAACACAACCTTAGGGAAGATTTTGGCTGAGGGAGAAATTTAGTTCGGAGAAGAATATGTAGAATTAATTATTGAATGATTAAAGAAAAGGTTAACACTGCCTTAGCTATGTCCCAGAGTTTCTGGTATGTTGTATCTTTCTTCTCATTAGTTTCAAAGAATTTTTGATTTTTGCCTTAATTTTGTTGTTTACCCAAAAGTCATTCAGAAGCAGGTTGTTTACTTTTCATGTAATTATATGGCTTTGAGCAATTTACTTAGTATTGATTTCTATTTTTATTTTGCTGTGATCTGGGAGTAAGGTTGGTATGATTTTGGTTGTTTTGAATTCGCTGAAGATTGTTTTATATCTGACTGGGTGGTTGATTTTTTAGATTATATGAAATGGGCAGATGAGAAGAATACATTTTCTGTTGTTTTTGGGTGGAGTGTTCTGTAAATGTCTATTCAGTCTATTTGGTCAAGTGTCAAGTTCAGTTTCTGAATATATTTGTTAGTTTTCTTCCTTGATTATCTCCCTAATACTGCCAGTGGGGTGTTGAAGTCTCCTACCATTATTGTGTGGTTATCCAAGTCTCTTTGTAGGTCTCCAAGAACTTGCTTTATGAATATGGGTACTTCTGTATTAGGTGCATATATATTTCAGATAGTTAGGTCTTGTTGAATTGATCCATTTACCATTATGTAATAACCTTCTTTGTCCTTTTTGATTTTTATAGGTTTAAAGTCTGTTTTGTCTGAAACTAGAATAGCAACCCCTGCTTTTTTCTGTTTTCTGTTTGATAGAATTTCTCCATCCCCATATTATGGGTGTCATTGCCTGTAAGATAAATCTCTTGAAGACAGCATACTGTTGGGTCTTGCTGCTTTATTAAACTTGCCACACTGTGTAATTTAATTGGGACGTTTAGCATGTTTACATTCTAAGTTAGTATTGATATATGTAAATTTGATCCTATCATCATGTTGTTAGCTGGTTATTAAGCAGATTGTTTATATGGTTGTTTAATAGTGTCACTGGTCTATGTACTTAAGGGTGTTTTTGTAGTGGCTGGTAATAGCTTTTCCTGTCCATGTTTAGCACTCCCTTCAGGACCACCTGTAAGGCAAGTCTGGTGGCAATAAAACCCTTTAACATTTGCTTTTCTGAATAAGATCTTATTTCTCCTTCACTTATGAAGATTAGTTTGGCTGGATATGGAATTCTTAGCTGGGAAGTCTTTTCTTTAAAGATCCTGAATATAGGCCCCCAATCTCTTCTGCCCTCTAAGGTTTCTGCTGAAGGGTCCACTGTTAGGCTAAAGGGGTTCCCTTCGAAGGTGGCCCGCCCATTCTCTCTAGCTATCTTTAACATTTTTTTCTTTCATGTCAACCTTGGGAAATCTAATGACTATGTGTCTTGTGTAGTATTTCACGGGGGTTCTCTGCATTTCCTGAATTTGACTGTTGGCCTCTCTAGTGAATTTGGAGAAATTTTCCTAAATGATATCCTGAAATATGTTTTCTAAATTGCTGGGTTACTCCCAGTCTTTCTCAGAGATACCAATGAGATGTGGAGTTAGTCTCTATATAATCCCATATTTATCAGGAGTTTTGTTCCTTCTTCTTTATTGTCTTTTATTTTTGCCTGAGTTATTTTAGAGAGCTGGTCTTCAAGCTCTGAGGTCCCTTTTCAGCTTCATCAGATCAGAGCCCTATTTCATGTCATATGCAAAAAAAAAAACGAATCAAAATGGATTGTAGACTAAATCTAAGACCTCAAACTATGATATTACTAAAATAAAGCATTGGGGAAACTCTCCAAAACTTTGGACAGGTAAAATATTTCTTGAGAAATACCCCAGGAGCATGGGCCATCACAGCAAAAATGAACAAATGAAATAATGTCAATTTAAAAAAACTACAACAAAACAAAAATAACATTTAACAAAGTGGAGAGACAACCCACAGCATGGGAGAAAATATTTGCAAACTACCCATCTGACAAGGGATTAATAACCACAATAATAGGAAGCTCGTATAGGAAAAAGATTATGGCCATGTGTGGTGGCTCACACCTGTAATCCCAGCACTTTGGGAGGCCGAGGCGGGTGGATCACCTGCAGTCAGGAGTTCGAGACCAGCCTGTCCAACATGGTGAAACCCCATCTCTACTAAAAATACAAAAATTAGCTGGGCATCGTGAAGGGCACCTTTAATCCCAGCTACTTGGGAGGCTGAGGCTGGAGAATTGGAAAATGTGGGTGAGAGTGATTTTTCCCCTCACCCCTCTGACAATCTGCTGATTGCCAAACTGTTGAGACACGCTTTTGCTCTTGTGACCCAAGGCAATGCTATCAGTGACAATTTGGGTACTTCCTGGGGACAGAGAAATAGGTGGCCAGCTTCTGAAGGCATGCCCACCTCAAAGCCAATCTCAGATGGTGGGCACCATATGGGTTGTACACTCATGATGGACCTCTGTCCTGCTCAAGGATTCTCTGCCCTTGAGTCACTGCCACACCATATCCCCCCAAACATACCTTATAGCTTACTCCAACTGTGGAAACAGAAGGGATCAGGAGGTCCCCAGAAAGCTGTGGGACCTCTGAAGACCTAACTCCTGTTATGGTTCACCTGTAAGGAGGAGTGAGCTCATCTCACCAAGGCCCTCTTGGGAAAAGGAAATGCAGGTACAGTGCCAATCACTGAAGAGGGCAACACTGACACCCAGGAACAGATGTGGAGAGAGTCACCTCCCTCTCCCACTCCCCATACACTGTGTGTTTTTTGCACCTTTTGCAGCAGCTCCATCCACACTGTAAGTAAGCCTGCTCCACTGAGGCTTACACAAAGGGCGGGATCCAACTGTCCCTCCCTAAACAGAGGAATAGCATCCTGGCAACAGGGGACAAACAAGTCACAAAATTTGCTGCCCTCAACTGGGAAAATGGCTCTGTCCTTGGTGCGTTTTTGTGGTAATCCCTATGTCATATCCACAACCCAAAGATGCACTGTGGCTGGAAACCACAGGATGAAATCTTTCTGAAGTAAAGGCCATGAGCCCTGCAACAGGGGCATGATAGGGGAGCGAGTCACTTTCTTGCTGCCTCAGGATGAGGAACTGGTGTAGACTCCTGCTCTTTACCCTGAGACCTCAGCACACTCCAACACAATCTCTTCCCATCACTCTACATCAGGGCAGGTGCTTTCACTGGACATCAGCCTGAGGGTGAGCCAAACCTTACTTTTAATTGCCGTCTGCTGGACTACAGCCTGAATACAACACCAAATAAAAAACCTACTACAAAAAGGGCTTAGTGCTAGTTCACAAGCTTCCTGAGACCTCTACACCTTCGGCCCCTCAGGAGAAAGTGTATGGGCTTGTACATCTGATACATTGCCACAACAGGCAGCATCTGCGAAAGCTACTTCATAGAAGCTACCTACAACCAAGGAACACATACAGAGCCTTGGCTCCCTGAAATCACCCAGAAATGTAGCCCAACAATTGTATGCAACAAACATCACAGTCGTACCTTCAAGGAAAAAAAAAAATTAAAAATTTCATCCAAAAAATAGCAAATTCAAAAAGAAGAAGCAATATCTCCTTCAGATGAAAAGGAATCAGTGCAAAAAAGTTAAAGTTTCTATCAGTTTAAAATAACTTGTTATAAATATAGAATTTATTTTGTAAGTCTTTTGGTAAGCGCAAAAAAGCTATCATAAATACACTAAAAATAAAACTAAATGATTTGAAATATGCTACCAGAGAAAATCACTAAAACACAAAAGAAAACAGGAAAAAAAGAGAGTGACAAACAACTATAAAACAAGTTACAAAATGGCAACAGTAAGGCTTTATTTATCAATAATAACATTGAATGTAAATGTGCCAAATTCTTCAATTAAAATATATTTAAAGGCTGAATGGAATAAAAAAACAAGACCCAACTATGTGTTGCCTATAAGAAACTCACGTCTCATATAAAGACAAATATGAACTGAAAGCGAAGGTATGAAAAAAGTTGTTCCGTGCAAATGGAAATGATAAAAGAGCAGGAGCAGCTATACTCATATCAAATAAAATGGATTGGAAGTCAAATCTGCAAAAAGAGACAAAGGAAGTGATTATATAATGATAAAAGAGTCAATGCAGCAAAAGGACATATCAATAGCAAATATATGCACCAAACACCTGAGTACCGAAATATATAAAGCGAGTATTAACAGATCATAAAGGAGAAACAGACTGCAATACAATTATAATAAGGAACTTCAACACCCCGCTTTCAGCAAAGGACAAATCATCCTGGAAGAAAATCAACAAAAATCATTTGAATTAAGCTATACTCTAGACTAAATTGACTTACAAGATATTTATAGACAATTTTATCTAACTGCTAGAAAATATGCATTCTTATCAGCACATGGAACATTATCAGGTATCTTTCCTGATAACAAGGTAATAAAACTAGAAATCTGTAACAAGAAACATTTTGGAAACTGTAAAAATATATGGAAACTAAACAACATGCTGATGAACAACAAATGGGTAAATGAAATTATGAAATTCATTGAAAATTTTCTTAAAACAAATGAAAATGAAAACACAGCATACCAGAACCTATGGGATACATTAATAGCAGTGCTAAGAACGAAGTTTATGGCAATCAAATAGAAATTCTTCAGATAAAAATGCAAAAGTACATCTCAAGAACTACAAAGGCAAAAAGAACCCAAACTAGAAATTAATAGAAGGAAATAAATAATAAAGATCAGAGTTTAAATAAATAAAATTAAGATTTAAAAAATACAAAAGATCAAGACAATGAAAATATGTTTTTAGGAGTTAAACAAAATCAACCAATGTTTACTAGACTAAGAAAAAAAAAAAGCTGAGTGCAGTGGCTCATGCCTGTAATCCCAAAAGTTTGGGTGGCCAAGGTAGGAAAATTGCTTGAGCCCTGGGTTTTGTGACCAGCCTGGGCAACACGGTGAGGTCCCATCTCTACAAAAAATTTACAAAAATTAGTCTGGCATGGTGACACACACCTGTGGTTCTGGCAAATCAGGAGGCTGAGGCAGGAGGATCACCCAAGCCCAGAAGGTCAAGGCTGCAGTGAGCTATGTTTGTGCTACTGCACTCCAGCCTGGGCAGCAGAACAAGACCCTGTATCAAAACAAAAGAGAAAGAGAGAGGGCCAAATAAATAAAATCAGAGACAAGAAAATCTGCAACTGATACCACAGAAATACAAATGGTGATTTGAGGGTTATAAACAACTACACATCAACAAATTGGAAAGCCTAGAAGACACAGTTAAATTTCTAGATACAAGCAACCTACCACAATCGAATCATGAAGAAATAGAAAACATGAACACGCCAATAATTCGTAACAAGATCAAAGGAGTAACAAAAAGTTGTCAAAGAAAAGCTCAGGACTTAATTATCTTATTGCTGAATTCTACCAAATATTAAAAAAACTAACACAAATTATAATCAACCTGTTTCAAAAATTAAAGATGAGGGAATACTTGTAATCACATTACATGGATCAGCAATACCCTGATATCAAAACTAGACAAATATACTACAAATAAAGAAAACAAAAGCCCAATATCGCTGATGAAAAATAGACGCAAGTCTTCAACAAAATACTAGACAACTGAATTCAACAACTCATTTATAAGATCACTCACCATGTTTGAGTAGAATTTATTCCATGGATGTAGAAATGGTTCAACACATGCAAATCTACAAACATGATAGATTACATCAACAGAATCAAGAAGAAAGACTATATAATTATTTCAACAGATGCTTGAAAAGCATTCAGTAAAATTAAACTCCCCCATGATAAAAACTTAAAAATTGGGTTTAGAAGAAACAAAATGATAAATGTCATTTATGACAAATTTACAGCTGAAATTAAACTGAATGGTGAAAAACTGAAATACTTTCAACTAAGATCTGCAATAAGACAAAGATAGCTACTTTACTACTTTTATTCAACATAGTACTAGGAGTCCTAACCAGAGCAATTAGGCAAAGGATAGTAATAAATGGCCTCTAAATAGGAAAAAAAATGTCAAATTATCCTTGCTTGTTGACAACATAATTTTATATAGAGAGAAATCTAGATTTCACCACAAAAATCTCAGAACTGTAAAATGAATTCCGGTAAGTTGTAGAATATGAAATCCATGGCATTTCTATATGTTAACAGCATTAAATCCAAAAAAATTTGATAAATCAGTCCACTTTCAGATAGGCACACACACACACAAATAAAATATCTAGGAATAAATTTAACAAATGAAGTGAAAGATCTCTGCAAAGAAAACTATAAAACACTAATACCAGAAATTAAAAAGGACATACAAAAAACTGAAAGGTTTTTCCATGATTATGGATTGGAAAAATTAATTTTGTCAAAATGACTATACTACCCCAAAGCAATCTACAGATTTAATGTAATACTTATCAAAATACCAATGACATTCTACATAATAAAAAGAAAATCCTAATATGCGTGTGAAACTATGAAAGACCATGAATATCCAAGCAACTCTAAGACCCCACCAAAACGTTAGTGGCATTATACTATCCGATTTAATATTATTCTACAAAGCTATAGTAACCAAAACTAGACAAAGCATTGTGTTGGCATAAAAAATAGACACATAGACTAATGAAACAGAATAAAGAACTCAGAAATAAATCCACACTCAGCCAACTCATTTTTGACAAAGTTGCCAGGAACACACATTGGGAAAAAGACAATCTTTTAAATAAATGGTGCTGGAAGGCCTGGATATTCATATGTAGAAGAATAAAACTAGTTATCCATATTGTACCTATGCAAAAAATCAATTAAAATGGATTAAAGCTGTAAATGTTAGACTTCAAGTTATGAAACTACTAGAAGATAACATTCAGGAAAAACTACAGGACAATGATCTGAATAACTATGATTTGAATAAGATCTCAAAAGCACAGGAAACTAAAGCAAAATATAGACAAATGGGATTACATTATGCTAAAGAGCTTCTGTTTAGGACTGGAAACAATTAACAAAGTGAAAAGATAACCAATAGAATGGTAGAAAATATTTACAAACTATCCATCCAACAAGGGAGTAATAACCAGAATATATAAGTAACTCAAACAGGTCAATAGCAATAATAATTAAATAATAATAATAATCTCATTTAAAAAATGGATAGAATACCTGAATAGACATTTCTCAAAACAAGACTTATAAATAGCCACAAGGTATAAAAAAATGCTCAACATGACTATTAATAAGGAAAATGCAGCAAGCTATACCCCTATGATCAAAATTTGAAGCATTTTTGTTTCTCTCTGCCTGGTTCCTCTAGAATTTGGAAACTATATGTGAGTATTCCTATGGCAATATAGCTGTTTGCATCAGTGCAATAAGAATTCAGTTTTTTTTTGCAACAGAACACAATTGGAAAAACTGTTAATTTTACCAAGGCTTTAACTGGAGGGGTATGCTTCCCTTTAAGGAGTCAACAGAGCCAATAAAAGTCCGGTGGGGAAACTGGACTCATAACCTTGTCTATGCAGTCCCTGTACAGGGTTTCTGACCTGTGGTTAGTAAAGAATGTCACTTTCTAACAGCTCTAGGAGCTCCAAGTTTATCTTGGGATCATAAGAGGAGAGGATCACCTAACTCATAGGTATTTGAGGATGTAACCCATGGCTGGGCTTGGTTTTAAAAGGTCTTATCTATAATTCTTTGTGGAGCACACTTCCATCAAAGCCAGTCCGAAAGGCCTATATACAAATAGTTATTCTTGCTGCACTTTATGCAAATAATCAGGCCAAGTATAAAACTAAAGTGTATTTTGCAAACCACTCAGCCCTATCATAATTGGTTTATTTTTTAACAAACAGGACTGGAGAGAGAGAAATCATGTTTCAAAACATATTTTTGTGATTAAATTCTAAACTCATTCATTGTTTTTATGTTTTCACCTACATTTTAAACTAACCCTGCTTGCTCCTGTAAACCAACCAGCAATCCCTGGCTGCAGCTCAGAAAGAACAAGAGGAATGGGTAATGTAGAAATCTGGATCAATATTCTACTTCTGAGAATTTATCCTGCAAATCCTGCCAGGTGATGGAATAAATAGGGTACCCGTGATCCAGAGGTTTCCTTTTTGGGTAAGTAAGACCAAGGGAACTAACCAAAGCCAAGCACCATGCACCCAGATCCTAGCAAGCATAACTATAGCTACAAGTTATCTGGGTGTGTCACATGACATCCTTTCCTCTCTCTCATTGGAAGAGAACTCAGTTGCACAGTTTCACCTTAACATTCGGCTTATGATAAGGAATCCATGCAACCCCCTCCCCCGAGATACATTTTTGTCCCAGACTCAATTCCAAGCTTCGGGTCAAAGTCCTAGGAAATAAAATTGGATGTAAGGAATCCAGAGGCAAATGACAACAGAGGTTAAAAGGCACAGCGCAGGTGAGTGTGGCTAATTCCCTCCAATTAAGCCAAGCCCGAGCTTCCTGTTTCTTGGATACAGGCCACGTTAGTATCCATGGCATAAATAAGGTCTAAGGAACTCTAAGGTTACTGACAGTAGGTGGGAAAGAGACATAGGCGAGAGTGGATAATTCCTCTTTTCTAGCCCCTCCCTGCTTCATGGGTACAAGCTGCTTTGGCACTCATGGTGGTGCCTGCCAGGGTCACCAGGACTCAGGGTTGCAAGAATGGAAGGGGGAAAGAGAATGCTCTTCTCTCTCTACCTCACTTACCCCGGGTATCTGAGAATGGAACCAGTGATGCCTGCTGTCCTCTTTCTAGCTGGGTAGCCATTCATCTTCAGTCTGTACCCCTTTAGAATGCATCCTAAACCCCTGGGAATCCTTTAAAAGGCACTTTTTCTTCTCTTCTTTTCCGTCCTCTCTTCACTAATAGGTAATTGTGTCTCCGTAGTACGGGACACTCACCTGAAATGCATCCTCCAAACTAGAAAGTTAATTTCCCAAACCTGAAACTTGTTGGCTAGGTTTGGGCTCAGGGAGAGGGAACCCAGAAGGCCAACATGCGGGCAAAGCATAAAAGGTCCCATGCTTATTACTACATTTAACATGAATTACCTCCTTTTTAAAGATTTGATTTCCAAATATAGTCACATTAAGACTTTGTGCTTCAACATATTAATTTTTGGAATGGACACAATTCACTTCATAACAGCCTAAAAGACTTATGGGATACTGTCAAGAAGAGCAATATTATAAAAGTTTTATGAATGAGGAAAATGAGAAAGGAACAGAAAGATTACTTGAAAAAACAATGGCCAAAAACTTGACTAATTTAAGAAACAACATAAATCTACAAATTTGAAAAGCTCAACACAAGTAGGATAAACTCAAAGAGACCCACACTGAAACGCATTATAATTAAATTGCTGAAAGCCAAACATAAAAACAGAATATTGAAAACATCAAGAGTAAAGTGACTGATAACTTAAAAGGAATTAACAATAAAAATTCCATCTGATTTTCCAGCAGAAAGCTTGGAAGCCCGAGAGCAGTGAGATATATTTAAATGTTGAAAAAAATGTCAACCAATAATTCTACATTTAGTAAAACTTTTCTTCATAAATAATGGAGAAATAAAGAAATTCCCCAGTAAATAAAATCTGAGCAAGCATTACCAGTAGTCATGCCCTACAGTAAAGAATAAAGTACTTTGAGTTGATATAAAAGGACACTATACAGTAACAAGAATTCATGCAACAGTATGAAGACTTCCAGTAAAGGTAAACTATTGGAAAATAGAAAAAACAGCCTTCTTGTAATTTGATTTGTGATTTTTTATTTTTGCTATTTCTGTTCAACATAGAAGTGGAAGTCCTAGCCAGAGCAATTCGGGGAAAAAGAAATAAAATGTATCCATATTGGAAAGAAAAAAGTGACATTATCTCTGTTCATATATGGCAGGATTTTATATTTATAAAACCCTAAAGGTTACATAATAGCAAAAATAACAAAAACTGTTTGAACTAATATAAAAATTCAGTTAAGTTGTAGGAAACAAAATCAAGACACAGAACTTACTTAGTTCTATATACTAACAATAAATAGTTAAAATAATTTTAAAATTCTATAACATCAAAAATAAAACATTTAGAAATAAACCTAACAAAAGAGGCAAATGACTTATACACTTAAAGCCAGACACAAAAAGCCATGTATTATATGATCTCATTTTTATGGAATGCCCATAACTGACAAATTTATTGAGACAAATTTGTATACATATGTGTATATATATATATATATACACACACACATACATATATATAGAGAGACATATATAGAGAGACAAATTTATATACATATGTGTATATATATATATATTATACATACATATGTATGAGACAGAATGCAGATAAATCATTGCTAGAGACTATGTATTACTTTGCTCATGCTTCTTTAACAAATCGCCACAGAATGAATGACTTAAAACATTTTCTTACACTGCCTACAGACTAGAAATCTAAGTCAAATTCTTGGCTGGTTTGGTTTCTTTTGAGGTTTCCTTGCTCAGCTTGCAGATGACCACCATCTTGCTGTGCATTCTCTCATGGTTATCAATGTCACACAAAATCTGTCATGTGGTCCATGTGAAGTTTTATGCGTGCATCTGTATTGTAATCTTCTGTTCTTAAAATGACACTAGTCATATTAGCTTATGGGTCACCCTAATCAATTCATTTAACATTAATTACTTCTTCAAAGGCTCTATCACCAAATATAGTCACATTCTGAGTTACTGGGGATTAGGGCTTCAACATATAAATTTTGGGGGTGACACAACTCTGCCCATAAAAAGCTAGGATGGAGGTAGAATGGGAAGGAATTGCTAATGGATATAGTGCTTCTTTTTGCCATGATGAAAATGTTCTTGAATTAGATAGTGGTGACTGTACGGTAAAAATTAAATTAAAAATAATAAAAGACAAAATATTTGTGACATAGAGTTAGGCAAATAGTTTTTAGATATGATGTCAAATGCATAATCCATAAATTCATAAATTAGAGTTTATAAAAATTCAAAAGTTGTGCTTTGCAAAACAAAACAAAAACTGTTGAGTGGAGAAAAACACAAGCCAGAAATTAGGGAGACTATTTCCAAATCACATGTTTGATGAAGTACTCATATCCAGGATATTCAATATAAATAACTCACTAAGGTAAAAATCAAAGCAATTAGAAAATTTTTAAAGTTTAATCACTTCACAGAATAAAAATATATATCACAATCATGTGGAACAATGTTCAGCATTATTAGTTATTAAACAAATGCAAATTAAAATTATGATGAGATACCACTACATATTTTTAAAGTTTAAAAAAAAAACACTGACACTATCAAATGGAAGGAAGGATTCAGGATCTTTTATATATTGCTAGTGGGAATGTAACATGGTACAACTACTGTGAATACATATTAAAAGTTATATATATATGGCTGTGATAGAGTGGGGAGAGGGAATTTATATACATATATGTATATATATATTATACATGCAACTACCATAAAAGTAATCCTACTGGCCTTGGAGTTTACCCCGGAAAAATGCAAACTTATTTTCACACCAAAAAACCTGTTAACTAAGATTTATAAAAGTTTTATTTGTAATAGCCAGATACAGGCAACAACATATATGGCCTGTAATGAGCAAATAGATTAAAAAATTGGACATCAGTACAATGGAATTCCATTCTGCAACATAAAAGGGCAGATTATTGGTACACAATGGATCTCAAGGACATTATGCTAAATGTATCAAAGGAAATCACAGATGATTGCATACTCTATTATTCTATTTAAATAATATTGTTGAAGTGGCTACATTTTAGTGATGAACAACAGATCAGTAGCTTCCAGGGATTAAGGTTGTGGAAAGAGTGACTATTAAGGGTTACAACTGGGGTCTTTAATTGTGATGATGGAAGAGTTGTGAATAGTGGTGATAGTAAAGTAAGTCTACACACTTGAGACCTACACACACACACACACACACACACACACACACGATTGCATATAAACAATAGTAATACCTAAATAAGGTCTGTACCTGAGGTAATAGTATTTTGCCAAAGTCAGCGTCCTGGTTTTGACAATGTACTATAGTATAGTAAAACATTTTCTTTGAAGGAAGCTTAATGAAAGGTGCATAGGACCACTCAGTGTAACTTCACAACATTCTGTCTTAAATTAAAAATAAAAATTTATATAAAATAAAAATGAAAGTGAAATAATGGCATTTAAAAGCAAAAAAAAAAAAAAAAAAAAAAAGAGGCCAAGAGTGGTGGTTCATGCTGTAATCCCAGCACTTTGGGAGGCCAAGGTGGGTGGATCACTTCAGGCCAGGAGTTGGCCCTATCTCTACTAAAAATACAAAAATTAGCTGAGTGTGGTGGCATGTGCCTGTACTCTCAGCTACTCAGGTGGCTGAATCACGAGAATCGCTTGTACACAGAAGGCAGAGGTTGCAGTGAGCCTAGATCACACCACCACACTCCAGCCTTGGCAGCAGGGAGAGACTCTGTCTCAACAACAACAACAAAAATATAAATAAAAATAAATAAATAAAAGCAAAAAAAGAGAGAGATAATTCATTACTAGCAAACTTGTGCCAAGGACAATACCAAAGAGTTTTCTTCATGGAGAACTGAAATAAATTTCAATGAATGCATATATAATTAAAAAGGAAAGATAAGCAATAACAATATTTAGCATGATTTTTGTTTATTTATGAACTCTTGGCCATCAAAAGCTCCTCACTAGTAGCTTCAAAATGACATTCTTGTTACAAAAGTAGAAGACGTCATATAATGAAGATAGGCTGTTATTCTGTTTATTTGAGCAAAATGAATTAATAATACAGGTTACTAAAAAAAGATCAATGTTGATGAAGTGTAGAAGAATTGGAACACTTGCACACTGTTGGTTAACATGCAAAATGGTACAGCCAATATGAAAAATCATATGGAGGCTCCTCAACATATTATCCAGGAATTCCGTTTCTGGTATTTTAGAAAGATACTTAACACCTCATATTTATTGCACTTCTATTTATAATAGCCAAGATATAGAAAGACCCTAAATGTCCATCAAGAGAAGAATAAAGAATCCAATATATACATAAAATGGAAAACTATTCAGCACTAGAAAAGAAAATTCTGCAATATGTAAGAACATGGATAAACTTTTTTATAACTTTTAAGTTTAGGGGTACACGTGCAGAATATGAAGATTTGTTACATAGGTAAACGTGTGTCATGGGGGTTTGAGTACAGGTTATTTCATCACTCAGCTATTAAGCCTAGTATCCATTAGTTATTTTTCCTGATCCTCTCCCTCCTCCCACTTTCCACCCTTTGATAGGCCCCAGTGTGTGTTGTTCCCCTCTATGTGTCTATGTGTTTTCATCATTTAGCTCCCACTTATAATTGAGAACATGCCATATTTGGTTTTCTGTTCCTGCTTTAGTTTGCTAAGGATAATGGCCTCCAGCTCTATCCATGTCTCTGCAAAGGACATGATTTCATTTTTCTATATGGCTGCATAGTATTACATGGTGTATATGCACCACATTCTCTTTATCCAGTCTATCATTGATGGACATTTAGGTTGATTCCATGTCTTTACTATTGTGAATAGTGCCACAATGAACATACAGATGTGTGTGTGTGTCTTTATAACAGTATGATATATATGCCTTTGAGTATATACCCAGTGATGGAATTGCTGTGTCTAATGGTATTTCTGTCTTTAGGTCTTTGAGAAATTGCCATACTGTCTTCCACAATGGTTGACTAATTTATACTCCCACCAACAGCATATGAGCATTCCTTTTTCTACACAACCTCACCAGCATCGGTTATTTTTTGGCTTTTAATAATCGCCATTCTGATTGGTGTGAGATGGTATCTCATTGTGGTTTTGATTTGCATTTCTCTAATGATCAGTAAAGTCGAGCTTTTCTTCATTTGATTATTGGCCGTATATATGTCTTTTTTTGATAAGTGTCTGTTCATGTCCTTTGCCCACTTTTTTAACAGGGTTGTTTGTTTTATTCTTGTAAATTTCTTTAAGTTCCTTATAGATGCTGGATATTAGACCTTTGTCACATACATAGTTTGCAAAAATTTTCTCCCATTCTGTAGGTTGTCTACTCTGTTGATAGTTTCTTTTGCTGTGCAGAATCTCTTTTGTTTAATTAGATCCCATTTGTCAATGTTTGCTTCTGTTGCAACAGCATTTGGCATCTTTGTCATGAAATTGTAGCATGTGCCTGTGTCCTGAATGGTATTTCCTAGGTTGTCTTCCAGAGTTCTTATAGTTTGGGGTTTTACATTTAAGTATTTAATCCATCTTGAGTTAATTTTTGTATATGGCGTAAGGAAGTGGTCCAGATTCAATTCTCTGCATGTGGCTAGCTAATTATTCCCAGCACCATTTATTGAATAGGGAATCCTTTCCCCATTGCTTATTTTGTCAGGTTTGTTGAAGATCAGATAGTTGTAGATATGCAGTCTTATTTCTGGATTCCCTTATTTCTGTTCCATTGGTCTATGTGTCTGTGCTTGTACCAGTACCAGGCTGTTTCAGTTCCTGTAGCCCTGTAGTATAATTTGAAGTTGGGTGATGTGATGCCTCCAGCTTTGTTCTTTTTGTTTAGGATTGTCTTGGCTGTACAGGCTCTTTTTTGATTTCATATGAATTTAAAAATAGTTTTGTCTATGTCTGTGAAGAATGTCAGTGGTAGTTTCATGGCAATAGCTTTGAATCTATGAATTGCTTTGGGCAGTATGGCTGTTTTAACGACATTGATTCCTTCTATCCATGAGCATGGAATATTTTTCTATTTGTTTGTGTCATCTCTGATTTCTCTGAGCAGTGGTTTGTAGTTCTATTTGTAGAGATCTTTCAACTTCTGTATTAGCTGTATTTTTAGGTATTTTATTCTTTTTTGTGGGAATCATGAATAGGAGTTTGTTCCTCATTTGGCTCTTGACTTCACTGTTGTTGGTGGTTAGTGATTTTTGCACATTGATTTTGTATCCTGAGACTTTGCCAAAGTTCCTTATCAGCTTAAGATGCTTTGGGGGCCCAGTGCAGTGGCTCATGCCTGTAATCCCAGCACTTTGGGAGGCCAAGGCAGGTGGATCACTTGGGGTCAGGAGTTCCAGGCCAGTCTGGCCAACATGGTGGAACCCCGTTTCTACTAAAAATACAAAAATTAGCCGGGCATGGTGGCAGGTACCTGTAATCCCAACTACTCAGGAGGCTGAGGCAGGAGAATCCTTGAACCCTGGAAGTGGAGGTTGCAGTGAGCCAAGATTGCACCACTGCACTCCAGCCTGGATGACAGAGAGAGACACTGTCTCAAAAATAAAGAAAGAAAGAAAGAAAGAAAGAAAGAAAGAAAGAAAGAAAGAAAGAAAGAAAGAAAGAAAGAAAGAAAGAAAGAAAGAAAGAAAGAAAGCTTTTGGGCTGAGACCATGGGGTTTGCTCGATATAAGATAATGGCATCTGCAAACAGAGATAGTTTGAATTTCTCTCTTACTATTAGAATGCTCTTTATTTCTTACTCTTGCCCGATTGCCCTGGCCAGAAGTTCCTATACTATGTTGAAGAGGAGTGGTGAGAGAGGACATCTTATTATTGTGCCGGTTTTCCACAGGAATGCTTTAAGCTTTTTCTGGTTCAGTATGATGTTTGCTGTGGGTTTGTCATATATGGCTCTTATTATTTTGAGGTATGTTCCTTCAATAACTAGTTTATTGAAAGTTTTTACCATGAAGGGATATTGAATTTTATCAAAAGCCATTCTGCATCGATTGAGATAATCATGTGGTTTTTGTCTTTGCTTCTGTTTATGTGATGAATCACATTTATTGATTTGCATACATTTAATTGACCTTGCATCCCGGAAACAAAGCCTATTTGATCATGGTGGATAAGCCCTTTGATGTGCTCCTGTATTTGGTTTTCCAGTATTCTTGTGAAGACTTTTGCATTGATATTCATTAAGAATATTGGCCTGCCACCAGTGTAAAAGTGTCCCCTTTTCACCACATCACTGCCAACATATATTATTTTTTTATTTTTTTGATTATGGCCATTCTTGCAGGAGCAAGGTGGTATTGCATTGTGGTTTTGATTTTCATTTCCCTGATCATTATGATGTTGAACATGTTTTCATAGGTTTGCTGGCCATTTTTATATCTTCTTTTGAGAGTTGTCTATTCATGTCCTTAGCCATTTTTTTTTTAGGGGATTGTTTATTTTTTTCTTGCTAATTTGTTTGAGGTCCTTGTAGATTCTGAATATTAGTTCTTTGTCAGATGTATAGATTGTGAAGATGTTCTCCCACTCTATGGGTTGTCTGTTTACTCTGCTGATTGTTTCTTTTGCTGTGCAGAAACTTTTTAGTTTAATTAAATCCCACCTATTTATCATATTTTTTGTTGCATTTGCTTTTAGATTCTTGGTCATGAAGGCTTTGCCTAAACCAATGTCTAGAAAAGTTTTTCTGATGATAACTTCTAGAATTTTTATGGTTTCAAGTCTTAGATTTAAGGCCTTGATCCATCTTGAGTTGATTTTGTATAAGGTGAGAGATAAGGACCCGGTTTCATTCTTTTACATGTGGCTTGCCAATTATCCCACCAGTAGTTGTTGATTATGGTGTCTTTTTCCCACTTTATGTTATTGTTTGTTTTGTCCAAGATCAGTTGGCTGTAAGCATTTGGGATTATTTCTGGGTTCTCTCTTCTGTTCTATTGGTCTATGTGACTTTTGATATCAGTACCATGTTGTTTTTTTGGTGACTATGGCCTTATAATACAAAGTCAGGTAATGTTATGCCTCTAGATTTGTTCTTTTTGCTTAGTCTTACTTTGGATATGTGGGCTCTTTTTGGTTCCATATGAATTTTAGAATTGCTTTTTCTAGTTCTATGAGGAATGACAGTGGTGTTTTAATGGGAATTGCATTGAATTTGTAGATTGCTTTTGACAGTATGGTCATTTTCACAATATTGATTCCACCCATCAGTGAGCTTGAGATATGTTTCCATTTGGTTGTGTCATCTATAATTTCTTTCAGCAGTGTTTTGTAGTTTTCTTTGTACAGGTCTTTCACCTCATAGGTTAGGCGTATTTCTAAGTGTTATTATTTTTGCAGCTATTGTAAAAGGGGTTAAGTTATTCATTTAATTCTCTGCTTGGTAGCTGTTTGGGTATAGCAGAGCTATTGATCTGTGCACATTAATTTTGTATACTGAAACTTTGCTGAAATTATTTATCATTTCCAGGAGCTTCTTGGAGGAGTCTTTAGGGTTCTCTAGGTATACGATCGTATCATCAGAAAACAGAAACACTTTCACTTTTTCTTAACTGATTAGGATGCCCTTTATTTCTTTCTCTTGTCTGAGTTCCCTGGCTAGGACTTTCAGTACTATGTTGGATAGAAGTAGTGGGCATCCTTGTCTTGTTCCAGTTATCAGAGGGAATGCTTTCAACTATTTCCCATTCAGTATTATGTTGGCTGTGGGTTTGTCATAGATGACTTTTACTGTATTAATGTATGTCCTTTCTATGCCAATTTTGTTGAGGGTTTTAATCATAAAGGGATGCTGGATTTTGTAGAATGCTTTTTGTGCGTCTATGGAGATGACCATGTGATTTTTGTTTTTAATTACATTTATTTGGTGTATCACATGTATTGACTTGCATATGTTAAACCATCCCTGCATCCCCGCTATGAATCCCACTTGATCATTGTGGATTATCTTTCTGATATGTTGTTGGATTCAATTAGCTAATTTTTTAAGGATGTTTGCCTCTATATAAATCAGGGATATTGGTCTGTATTGTTGTTGTTGATGTTGTTGTTGTTATGTCCTTTCCTGGTTTTGGTATTAGGGTGATATTGGCTTAATAGAATAATTAAGAGAAGATTCTCTCTTTCTCTATCTTTTGGAATAGTGTCAATAGGATTGGTACCAATTTTTCTTTGAATGTCTGATAGAATTCAGCTGTGAATCCATCTGGTCCTGGACTTTTTTTTGTTGGCAATTTTTTTAAATTACCATTTCAATCTCTCTGCTTGTTATTGGTTTCTTCAGGGTTTCTAATTATCACTGCTTTAAGCTAGGAGGGTTGTATTTTTCCAGGAATTTATCCATCTCCTCTAGGTTTTCTAGTGTATGTGCACAAAGGTGTTTATAGTATCCTTGAATGATCTTTTGCATTTCTGTTGTGTCGATTGTACTATCTCCTGTTTGCTTCTATTTGAGCTTATTTGGATCTTCTCTCTTCTTTTCTTGGCTAATCAATGGGGGAGATTCCTTAAAGAACTAAAAGTAGAATGATCCAGCAATCCCACTACTGGATATTCATCCAGAGGAAAATAAGTAATTATACAAAAAAGATACTTGGCGATGCATGTTTATAGCAGCACACACAATTGCAAAATTATAGAACCAGCCCAACTGCCCATCAATCAATGAGTGGATAAAGAAATTGTGAAATATATATATATAAATATATATATAAATATATATATTTATAAATATATATAAATATATATTTATATATATTTATATATATATAAATATATATTTATATATATATAAATATATATTTATATATATTTATATATATGCCATGGAATACTATACAGTCACAAAAAGGAACAAACTAATGGCATTTTCAGCAACCTGGATGGAATTGGAGACAATTATTCTAACTGAAGTAACTCAGAAATGAAAAACCAAACCATACATTCTTACTCATAAGTGGGAGCTAAGCTATGAGGATGCAAAGATGTAAGAGTGATGCAATGGACTTTGGGAACTTGGGGGAAAGAGTGGGAGGGATAAAACACTACAAATTGGGTACAGTGTATACTGCTAGGGTGATGACTGCACCAAAATCTCAAATCACTATAGAATTTATTCATGTAACCAAACACCACCTGTTTCCCCAAAAGCTATAGAAATAAAATAAATTAATAAAGTAAAAAAATAAAATAAAATAGATAATATAAATATTGGCCTGAAATTTTATTTTATTATTGTATATCTGCTAGGTTTTGGTAACAGGATAATGCAGGCCTCGTAGAATGAGTTAAGAAGGAGCCCCTCCTCAATTTTTTAGAATAGTTTCAGTATGAATATTACCAGCTCTTCTTTGTCCATCAGGTAGAATTCAGCTGTGAATCCATCTGGTCCTGGGCTTTGTTTGTTTGCTAGGCTATTTATTACTGCCTCATCTTCAGATCTCATTATTGGTCTGATTAGAGATTCAATTTATTCCTGGTTCAGTCTTGGGAGGGTATGTGTGTCCAAGAATTTATACATTTCTTCTAGATTTTCTAGTTTATGTGCATACAAGTGTTTATAATATTCTATGATGGTTCTTTGTTTTTTTTATTTTATTATTATTATACTTTAAGTTTTAGGGTACATATGCACAATGTGCGGGTTAGTTACATATGTATACATGTGCCATGCTGGTGTGCTGCACCCATTAACTCGTCATTTAGCATTAGGTATATCTCCTAATGCTATCCATCCCCCCTCCCCCCTAACCCCACCCCACAACAGTCCCCAGAGTGTGATGTTCCCCTTCCTGTGTCCATGTGTTCTCATTGTTCAATTCCCACCTATGAGTGAGAACATGCAGTGTTTGGTTTTTTGTCCTTGTGATAGTTTGCTGAGAATGATGGTTTCCAGCTTCATCCATGTCCCCACAAAGGGCATGAACTCATCCTTTTTTATGGCTGCATTGTATTCCATGGTGTATATGTGCCACATTTTCTTAATCCAGTCTATCATTGTTGGACATTTGGGTTGGTTCCAAATCTTTGCTATCGTGAATAGTGCCGCAATAAACATACGTGTGCATGTGTCTTTATAGCAGCATGATTTATAGTCCTTTGGGTACGTACCCACTAATGGGATGGCTGGGTCAAATGGTATTTCTAGTTCTAGATCCCTGAGGAATCGCCACACTGACTTACACAAGGGTTGAACTAGTTTACAGTCCCACCAACAGTGTGAAAGTGTTCCTATTTCTCCATATCCTCTCCAGCACCTGTGGTTTCCTGACTTTTTAATGATTGCCATTCTAACTGGTGTGAGATGGTATCTCATTGTGGTTTTGATTTGCATTTCTCTGATGGCCAGTGATGATGAGCATTTTTTCATGTGTCTGTTGGCTGTATAAATGTCTTCTTTTGAGAAGTGTCTGTTCATGTCCTTTGCCCACTTTTTGATGGGGTTGTTTGTTTTTTTCTTGTAAATTTGTTTGAGTTCATTGTAGATTCTGGAAATTAGCCCTTTGTCAGATGAGTAGGTTGCAAAAATTTTCTCCCATTTTGTAGGTTGCCTGTTCACTCTGATGGTAGTTTCTTTTGCTGTGCAGAAGCTCTTTAGTTTAATTAGATCCCATTTGTCAATTTTGGCTTTTGTTGCCATTGCTTTTGGTGTTTTAGACATGAAGTCCTTGCCCATGCCTATGTCCTGAATGGTAATGCCTAGGTTTTCTTCTAGGGTTTTTATGGCTTTAGGTCTAACGTTTAAGTCTTTAATCCATCTTGAATTAATTTTTGTATGAGGTGTAAGGAAGGGATCCAGTTTCAGCTTTCTACATATGGCTAGCCAGTTTTCCCAGCACCATTTATTGAATAGGGAATCCTTTCCCCATTGCTTATTTTTCTCAGGTTTGTCAAAGATCAGATAGTTGTAGATATGCGGCTTTATTTCTGAAGACTCTGTTCTGTTCCATTGATCTATATCTCTGTTTTGCTAGCAGTACCATGCTGTTTTGGTTACTGTAGACTTGTAGTATAGTTTGAAGTCAGGTAGCGTGATGCCTCCAGCTTTGTTCTTTTGGCTTAGGATTGACTTGGCGATGCGGGCTCTTTTTTGGTTCCATATCAACTTTAAAGTAGTTTTTTCTGATTCTGTGAAGAAAGTCATTGGTAGCTTGATGGGGATGGCATTGAATCTGTAAATTACCTTGGGCAGTATGGCCATTTTCACGATATTGATTCTTCCTACCCATGAGCATGGAATGTTCTTCCATTTCTTTGTATCCTCTTTTATTTCATTGAGCAGTGGTTTGTAGTTCTCCTTGAAGAGGTCCTTCACGTCCCTTGTAAGTTGGATTCCTAGGTATTTTATTCTCTTTGAAGCAATTGTGAATGGGAGTTCACTCATGATTTGGCTCTCTGTTTGTCTGTTATTGGTGTATAAGAATGCTTGTGATTTTTGTACATTGATTTTGTATCCTGAGACTGCTGAAGTTGCTTATCAGCTTAAGGAGATTTTGGGCTGAGACAATGGGGTTTTCTAGATATACAATCATGTCATCTGCAAACAGGGATAATTTGACTTCCTCTTTTCCTAATTGAATACCCTTTATTTCCTTCTCCTGCCTAATTGCCCTGGCCAGAACTTCCAACACTATGTTGAATAGGAGTGGTGAGAGAGGGCATCCCTGTCTTGTGACAGTTTTCAAAGAGAACGCTTCCAGTTTTTGCCCATTCGGTATGATATTGGCTGTGGGTTTGTCATAGATAGCTCTTATTATTTTGAGATACATCCCATCAATACCTAATTTATTGAGAGTTTTTAGCATGAAGGGTTGTTGAATTTTGTCAAAGCCCTTTTCTGCATCTATTGAGATAATCATGTGGTTTTTGTCTTTGCTTCTGTTTATATGCTGGATTACATTTATTGATTTGCATATATTGAACCAGCCTTGCATCCCAGGGATGAAGCCCTCTTGATCATGGTGGATAAGTTTTTTGATGTGCTGCTGGATTCAGTTTGCCAGTATTTTATTGAGGATTTTTGCATCAATGTTCATCAAGGATATTGGTCTAAAATTCTCTTTTTGGTTGTGTCTCTGCCCGGCTTTGGTATCAGGATGATGCTGGCCTCATAAAACGAGTTAGGGAGGATTCCCTCTTTTTCTATTGATTGGAATAGTTTCAGAAAGAATGGTTCCAATTCCTCCTTGTACCTCTGGTAGAATTCGGCTGTGAATCCATCTGGTCCTGGACTCTTTTTGGTTGGTAAGCTATTGATTATTGCCACAATTTCAGATCCTGTTATTGGTCTATTCAGAGATTCAACTTCTTCCTGGTTTAGTCTTGGGAGGGTGTATGTGTCAAGGAATTTGTCCATTTCTTCTAGATTTTCTAGTTTATTTGCGTAGAGGTGTTTGTAGTATTCTCTGATGGTAGTTTGTATTTCTGTGGGATCGGTGGTGATATCCCCTTTATCATTTTTTATTGCATCTATTTGATTCTTCTCTCTTTTTTTCTTTATTAGTCTTGCTAGCGGTCTATCAATTTTGTTGATCCTTTCAAAAAGCCAGCTCCTGGATTCATTAATTTTTTGAAGGTTTTTTTGTGTCTCTATTTCCTTCAGTTCTGCTCTGATTTTAGTTATTTCTTGCCTTCTGTTAGCTTTTGAATGTGTTTGCTCTTGATTTTCTAGTTCTTTTAATTGTGATGTTAGGGTGTCAATTTTGGATCTTTCCTGCTTTCTCTTGTGGGCATTTAGTGCTATAAATTTCCCTCTACACACTGCTTTGAATGTGTCCCAGAGATTCTGGTATGTTGTGTCTTTGTTCTCATTGGTTTCAAAGAACATCTTTATTTCTGCCTTCATTTCGTTATGTACCCAGTAGTCACTCAGGAGCAGGTTGTTCAGTTTCCATGTAGTTGAGTGGTTTTGAGTGAGTTTCTTAATCCTGAGTTCTAGTTTGATTGCACTGTGGTCTGAGAGACAGTTTGTTATAATTTCTGTTCTTTTACATTTGCTGAGGAGAGCTTTACTTCCAACTATGTGGTCAATTTTGGAATAGGTGTGGTGTGGTGCTGAAAAAAATGTATATTCTGTTGATATGGGGTGGAGAGTTCTGTAGATGTCTATTAGGTCTGCTTGGTGCAGAGCTGAGTTCAATTCCTGGGTATCCTTGTTAACTCTCTGTCTCGCTGATGTGTCTAATGTTGACAGTGGGGTGTTAAAGTCTCCCATTATTATTGTGTGGGAGTCTAAGTCTCTTTGTAGGTCACTCAGGACTTGCTTTATGAAACTGGGTGCTCCTGTATTGGGTGCATATATATTTAGGATAGTTAGCTCTTCTTGTTGAATTGATCCCTTTACCATTATGTAATGGCCTTCTTTGTCTCTTTTGGTCTTTGTTGGTTTAAAGTCTGTTTTATCAGAGACTAGGATTGCAACCCCTGCCTTTTTTTGTTTTCCATTTGCTTGGTAGATCTTCCTCCATCCTTTCATTCTGAGCCTATGTGTGTCTCTGCACGTGAGATGGGTTTCCTGAATACAGCACACTGATGGGTCTTGACTCTTTATCCAATTTGCCAGTCTGTGTCTTTTAATTGGAGCATTTAGTCCATTTACATTTAAAGTTAATATTGTTATGTGTGAATTTGATCCTGTCATTTGATGTTAGCTGGTTATTTTGCTCGTTAGTTGATGCAGTTTCTTCCTAGGCTCGATGGTCTTTACAATTTGGCATGACTTTGCAGTGGCTGGTACCGATTGTTCCTTTCCATGTTTAGTGCTTCCTTCAGGAGCTCTTTTAGGGCAGGCCTGGTGGTGACAAAATCTCTCAGCATTTGCTTGTCTGTAAAGGATTTTATTTCTCCTTCACTTATGAAGCTTAGTTTGGCTGGATATGAAATTCTGGGTTGAAAATTCTTTTCTTTAAGAATGTTGAATATTGGCCCCCACTCTCTTCTGGCTTGTAGAGTTTCTGCCGAGAGATCCACTGTTAGTCTAATGGACTTCCCTTTGTGGGTAACCCGACCTTTCTCTCTGGCTGCCCTTAACATTTTTTCCTTCATTTCAACTTTGGTGAATCTGACAATTATGTGTCTTGGAGTTGCTCTTCTTGAGGAGTATCTTTGCGGTGTTCTCTGTATTTCCTGAATCTGAATGTTGGCCTGCCTTGCTAGATTGGGGAAATTCTCCTGGATAATATCCTGCAGAGTGTTTTCCAACTTGTTCCATTCTCTCCATCACTTTCAGGTACACCAATCAGACGTAGATTTGGTCTTTTCACATAGTCCCATATTTCTTGGAGGCTTTGTTCGTTTCTTTTTATTCTTTTTTCTCTAAACTTCCCTTCTCACTTCATTTCATTCATTTCATCTTCCATTGCTGATACCCTTTCTTCCAGTTGATCGCATTGGCTCCTGAGGCTTCTGCATTCTTCACGTAGTTCTCAAGCCTTGGCTTTCATCTCCATCAGCTCCTTTAAGCACTTCTCTGTATTGGTTATTCTAGTTATACATTCGTCTAAATTTTTTTCAAAGTTTTTAACTTCTTTGCCTTTGGTTTGAATTTCCTCCTCTAGCTTGGAGTAGTTTGATCGTCTGAAGCCTTCTTCTCTCAACTCGTCAAAGTCATTCTGCATCCAGCTTTGTTCCATTGCTGGTGAGGAACTGCATTCCTTTGGAGGAGGAGAGGCGCTCTGCTTTTTAGAGTTTCCAGTTTTTCTGCTCTGTTTTTTCCCCATCTTTGTGGTTTTATCTACTTTTGGTCTTTGATGATGGTGATGTACAGATGGGTTTTTGGTGTGGATGTCCTTTCTGTTTGTTAGTTTTCCTTCTAACAGACAGGACCCTCAGCTGCAGGTCTGTTGGAGTTTGCTAGAGGTCCACTCCAGACCCTGTTTGCCTGGGTATCAGCAGCAGTGGCTGCAGAACAGCAGATTTTCGTGAACCGCGAATGCTGATGTCTGATCGTTCCTCTGGAAGTTTTGTCTCAGAGGAGTACTCGGCCATGTGAGGTGTCAGTCTGCCCCTACTGGGGGGTGCCTCCCAGTTAGGCTGCTTGGGGGTCAGGGGTCGGGGACCCACTTGAGGAGGCAGTCTGCCTGTTCTCAGATCTCCAGCTGTGTGCTGGGAGAAGCACTGCTCTCTTCAAAGCTGTCAGACAGGGACATTTATGTATGCAGAGGTTACTGCTGTCTTTTTGTTTGTCTGTGCCCTGCCCCCAGAGGTGGAGCCTACAGAGGCAGGCAGGCCTCCTTGAGCTGTTGTGGGCTCCACCCAGTTGGAGCTTCCCGGCTGCTTTGTTTACCTAAGCAAGCCTGGGCAATGGCAGGAGCCCCTCCCCTAGCCTCGCTGCCACCTTGCAGTTTGATCTCAGACTGCTGTGCTAGCAATCAGCAAGACTCTGTGGGTGTAGGACCCTCCGAGCCATGTGCGGGATATAATCTCCTGGTGCGCCATTTTTTAAGTCCGTTGGAAAAGCGCAGTACTAGGGTGGGAGTGACCCGATTTTCCAGGTGCCATCTGTCACCCCTTTCTTTGACTAGGAAAGGGAACTCCCTGACCCCTTACACTTCCCGAGTGAGGCAATGCCTCACTCTGCTTTAGCTCACACACGGTGCGCTGCACCCACTGTCCTGCGCCCACTGTCTGGCACTCCCTAGTGAGATGAAACCAGTACCTCAGATGGAAACGCAGAAATCACCCGTCTTCTGCATCGCTCACGCTGGGAGCTGTAGACTGGAGCTGTTCCTATTTGGCCATCTTGGCTGCCGCCTACCGGTTCTTTGTATTTCTGTTTGTTCAGTGGTAATATGCCCCTTGTCATTTCTAATTGTGTTTATTTGAATCTTCTCTCTTTTCTTCTTTATTTGCCTAGCTAGTAGTCTATCTATTTTATTAATTATTTCAGAAAAACCGATCCTGGATTTGTTTATTTTTTGAGTAGCTTTTCATATCTGTTTCTCCTTTAGTTCAGCTCTGATTATGGTTATTTCTTGTCTTCTGCTAGGTTTTGGATTTGTTTGCTCTCAATTCTCTAGTTCTTTTAGTTTTGAGTTTAGGTTGTTAACTTGAGATCTTTTTAACTTTTTTATGTGGGTATTCAGTGCTATGAATTTCCCTCTTAACATCCCCATACCTGTGTCCCAGAGCTTCTGGTATATTCTATCTTTGTTCTCATTAATTTCAAAGAACTTCTTGATTTCTGCCTTAATTTCATTATTTACTCAAAAGTTATTCAAGAGCAGGCTGTTTAATTTCCATATATTATATAGTTTTGAGTGACTCTCTTAGTCTTTATCTCTAAATTTATTGCAGTGTGGGCCAAGAGACTGGTATAACTTCAGTTCTTTTGTATTTGCTGTGGAGTGTTTTACTTTTGATTATGTGATCAGTTTTAGAGTAAGTGCCATGTGGTGATAAGAAGAACGTATATTCTGTTGTTTTGGGGTGAAGTGTACTGTAGATATCTATCACATTCATTTGATCCGGAGCTGAGTTGAGTTTCTGGAAATCTTTGTTAATTTTCTGTTTTGGTGATCTATCTAATATTGTTAGTGGGGTGTTAAAGTCTTCCACTATTATTGTGTGAAAATCTAAGTCTCTTTGAAGATCTCTAAGAACTTGCTTTATGAATCTGGGTATTACTGTGTCGAGTGCATGTATATTTTGGGTAGTTAGATCTTCCTGTTGAATTGTACACTTTACCATTACATAATGCCCTTTTTATGTCTTTTTTGTTACTCATTGGTTGAAAGCCTGTCTTATCAGAAAATAGTTTTTTTTTGAAAAATTTTTCTCTATTCTTGTCTGCCTGTCTTATTTTAGAAAGACAGTCTTCAACTCTGAGATTCCTTCTTCCACTTGGTCTATTATGGTGTTAATACCTGCAATTACATTACAAAATTCTTGTAGTGTGTTTTTAGCTCTATCAGGTCAGTTATATTCTTCTCTATGGTGGGTATTTTGTCTTTCAGCTCCTGCAATGATTTATCAGTTTTTAGCTTCCTTGCTTTGTGTTACATCATGCTCTTTTAGCTCAGTGAAGTTCAATTTATCCACATTGTCAATTCTACTTCTGTCATTTCAGCCATCTCAGCCTCAGCCCAGTTCCAAACCCTTGCTGGGGAGGTGATGCAATCATTTGGAGGAAAGAGGGCACTCTGGCTTTTTGAGTTTTCAGCATTCTTGCACTGATTCTTTCTCATCTTTCTGGGCTTATTATTGAGGTTGTTGACCTCAAAGATTGAAGGTAGATAAGCCCAGAAAAATTGTTTGGATTTTTTATTTTACACTTTTAACAGTATGGCCACTTTTCTGTAGGATTGCTGTGGTTTTCTGGGGTCCCTAGTCACCTGGTCCCTAGCCACCTCAGATTTTTCAGTACTTGGAGTTATCACCAGTGAAGGCTGCAAAACATCAAAAATGGCAGCATTTCCCTTCCTCTGGGAGCTCCATCCCAGGGTGGTACAAACCTGTTGCCAGCCCAAATGTACTTGCAGGAGGTGGCTAGAGACCCCAGTTGGGAGGTCTCACCCAGTGAGAAGAAAGGGGAGAGGAAGGGGATCGGGGACCTACTTAAAAAAAGCAGGCTAGCCATGCTTTTGTAGAGCAACTGTACTGTGCTGGGATATCACTTCCACCCTCAGTCACCTTGGGCTTTCCAAAGCCGGGAGACTGGAACAGCTAAGTTGCTGAAACAGCAAAGATAGTGGCCTGCCCTTTCCTCTAGGAGCTCTGTCCCAGGAAGTTTTTAAATCTTTGTTGGCAAAAGAATATTGTCAGAAGTGATTGGAGGCTCCAGTTGGGAGGTCTTGCCCAGTGAGAAGGAATGGATTGGGGACCCACTTAAGGAATCAGTCTGGCCGTGTTTTCATAAAGCACCTGTGCTGTGCCGGGGAACTGCTTCTGCCTTGGTGGGCTCGGGCACTCCAAAGGCTGCAGGTAGAACGTCTAAGTCACCTAAAACAGCCTGCCCCTTTCTCTGGGGACTCCATCCCAGGGAGAAATCAAATCTCTTGGGCCAAGGAACTGGAGGCCCCAGTTGGGGAAGCCCAGTGTGGACGCAAATCAAGGACCTGTTTAAAAAAGCAGTTAGGCGACTTTTGGTAGAGCAGCTGTGCTGTGCTGACAGATCTTTTGCACCCCCAGGCATTTTGGACACTCCAAGGCCCACAGGCTGGAATGGCTGAGTCACCCAAATAGTGAAGATGGCAGCCCACTCTTCCCCTTGCAGACTCCGTCTCATCTCAGGTAGGTGCAGCACTTGTGCTAGTGGCTGGCTGAAATTCCAAACCAGTGGGCCTTATCCTATGAGGTGCCATAGAAGTGGGGCCCGCAGATCATCACTACTTGGCCCCCTGGATTCAGCTCCCATACTAGTGGTATGTATGGAGGTCCAACCTCCCACCTTGCCTGAGTTACAGTCCCATTTGCCAGGGAACCGAGAGCCAGAGTACATAAAGCCCCTGGGTCTTTGTGCATGCCTGAGCAGCTGCTCCGCTGAGACTCCACACAGCTGTGTGTGTCAGACCAAAGGCTCTGGTGGAGTGGGATCAGGAGGGGATCTCTTGACCTGAGGATTGCAAAGGTTTGTGGGAGATGCATGGTTTCCAGGGGTCACAGATTCACTCACTGCTTCCCTGGGCAGAAGGAGGTTCCCTTGGCTCCATGTCATTCTCAGGCGGGCTGACACCATGCCCTGCTTTTCTCCATTCTCTGCGGATTGAGCTATTTCCCTCATGAGTCCCAACACAAGTACTTGGATGTTTTAGTTAAAGGTGCTATATTTACTCACCCCTTTTGTTATTTTCCATGAGAGCCATGCACCACAGCTGCTTCTAATATAGATAAACTTTGAGAACATTATACTAAGTCAAATAAGCCAGTCACAGAAGGACAAATACTGCATGATTTCATTTACATGGTATGTCCATAATAGTCAAATTCATAGAATGCAAGTGAAATGGTGGTTGCCAGGTCCTGAAGGGAAGGGTAAATGGGGCATTACTAATCAACAGATGTAAAGTTTAAATTAATTATGATTAATAGGCTCTAGAGATTTACTGTATAACATTGTACTTATAGCAAAAATAGTGTATTAGTACACTTAAAATTTTGTTAAGAAGGCAGATCTCATGTTGAGTGTTCTAACCGTAACAAAATAAGATTTTGATACTTATTAATTGTACACTGTTATTCATTAAGTTTAATGTGAAAATAAATTATTTAAATTCCATGTAAATTGATCTGACATATCCAAATTATTGTGCTTATGTATTTCTACTGGCCATTACATACATTTTCAGCTATTATATCAGAATATGGATTGTAGTCTAGTGCCCACAAAAGTAGCTCAATTTTACTCAAACCTGTTAATGTTTAATCTTCAATATAGTTTACAAATTTAGACTAAAGCAGTTTGCTTCTTTATCCTTAGAAGTTTATTCAATTGGCAGAAGTAGATTTCATTTTAAAATCTAACAAAAGAAAGTGGGGAGAAAATCTACATGGACATATTTGTTATTTGTCAAATTAATTAAAACATTAGTTATAAAATTTATAAAATATAAACAACCTCAATGTTGAGAGGTCAACCAGAATAATATTATGTATGATAAGCCTGTGACCACTGGTTTAGAAGTAGATTCCTGGACTATAAAAATCTACTTTGAGATTCACGTAATCTTTATAAATAAATAGAAATAAAGTTCCCTTGTAATAACAGAAATATTACAGAACTATGACTATCAAACTGAAATATATTTTAATTTTAATTCTTTATATTGAAACGTCATTTTGTTCTATAACTAGTTGGTACCAATTTGTCTTGCTTTCTTCAATAAATAGATATGTAATGCTACTGTATTCCAAAATGTTTGTCTAAAAATGTTTGTTTTGCCTTATATTTCTTATCTTGCTTTTAAGCTTCATTGTCACCATTTTTTTCTCCTAATTTTCTCACATACCTTATATCCAACTTTTTAAAAATCCAACTTTTTAAAAGTGGTAATATTTTAAATATTTTTGAATCTATTCTATTTTTACCATCTGTGTCTTTTACTCTCTATATTGGCTTAGTTCAAGTCCTTATTATCTCTCATGTGAACTACAGCAGACTATAACTTGACTTTCCTAGCTCCAATCTCCTCTCATACAAATCTTTTCACACTATATTAACTGCTGGGAATTTATAACAATCCAACCATGCTTACACAAGTTTCTTAAGGGAGTACTAAATATGGAAACAAAAGATTGAAACCTGCTAACACAAAAACACACTCAAGCACATAGCCCACAGACAATATAAAACAATTATGCAATCAAGTCTACAAAACAAGCAGCCAACAACACTATGACAAGATCAAAATCTTGTATATCAATACTGACCCTAAATGTAAATGGCCTAAATGTCCCACTTAAAAGGAATAGAGTGACAAGTTGGATAAAAAGACAAGACATAACAGTCTGGTGTCTTCAAGTGTTGCACCTCACACGTAATGACATATGCAAGTTAAAAGTAAAGGGATGCAGGAAGGCCTACTATGCAAGCAGAAAATTTAAAAAAAGAGCAGGAGTCACTACTCTTGATAAAACAGATTTCACCAGAAACAGTCAAGAAGAACAAAGAAAGGAATTGCATAATAAAAGGTTCAATTCAGCAAAAGACTTAATTGCCCTAAATCTATGCAAACACAATACTGGAGCACCTAGATTCACAAAACTAGTTCTTCTTGACCTATGCAAAGCCTTACAAGGGCACAAAATAATAGTGGGGAACTTTAATACTCCAATGAAATTGTTAGACAGGTCATTAAGGAAGAAAAATACCAAATAAATTTTGGACTTAAACCTAACACTTGACTAATTGGACAAAACAGACATCTAAAGAATACATCACCCAGCAACGACAGACAATGCATTCTTCTCATTTGCACACAGCATATTCTAAGATAGACTATATGCTCAGCCATAAAGCAAATTTCAGCTAATAGAAGATAAAAAATAACTAAACTCAGAGATGAACTGAATAAAACTGAGACCAAAAAGTCCACAAAAAGATCAGATCAATTAAACCAAGAATTGGTTCTTTGAAAAATAAACAGGATTGATAAACCATTAGCCACATTAACACAGAAAAAACAAACAGAAAATCCAAAAAAGTGGAATTAGAAATGACAAATGATATTACAACCAATCTCATAGAAATATACAGAGGAACCTCAGAGAGTATTATAAGCACCTCTATGCAAATTAATTAGAAAATGTAGAGAAAATGGATGAATTCCCGGAGACACACAGTCTCCCAAAATTGAACCAGGAGGAAAGTAACAATATGAATAGATCAACAAGAAGTTCAGAGATGGAATCATTAATAAAAATCCTACCAACCACAAAATCCTACAAACCACAAAATACCAAATGGAATAACAACTGAATTCTCCCACACGTACAAAGAAGAAGTGATGCCAATTATACTGAATCTATTTCAAAATACTTAGGAGGAGGAACTTCTTCCTAACTTAATCTAAGAAGCTAGCATCATGCTGATACCAAAATTTGGGAGAGACCTACCAAACAAAGAAAGCTTCTTACCAATATCCCTGATGAACTTTGATGCAAAAATAATAAAAAAAGTACTAGGAAATTGAATCCAGCAACATATCCAAAAGTTAATTTACCATGATCATATAGGCTTTATTACTGAAATACAAGGTTGGTCTAATATATGCAAATCAATAAATATGATTAATCACATAAATAGAATAAAAACACACATGATCATTGCAATAGATGCAGATAAAGCCTTCAATGAGATCCAACATCTTTTTATAATAAAAATCATCGACAAACTAGGCATCTAAAAAACAAACCTTGAAACAGTAAGAGCCGTCTATGACAAACTCACTAGCAACACCATACTGAATGGCCAAAAGCTGGAACCATCCTGCTTGAGAACTGTAACAAGGCAAGGATGCTTACTTTCACCACTCCCATTTAGCATAGTACCGGAAGTCCCAGTCAGAATAATCAGGCAACAGAAAGAAATAAAAGGCATCAAAATAGGAAAAGAAGTCAAACTATCTCTCTTTGCTGGTGATATGGACTCTATACATAGAAAACCCAAAAGAATCATTCTAATTCTCCTTGAACTGGAACATGAATTCAGTAAAGTTTCAGGATACAAAGTTAACTCACAAAAAATCAGTAGCATTTCCATTTACCAATAATGTTCTAGCTGAGAAGCAAATCAAGAATACAAAGCCACTCACAATAGCCACATAGAAATCATAAAAATGAAATACTCAGGAACTCATCGAACCAAAAGATGAAAGAGCTCTACAAGGAGTACCTCAAAACACTGCTGAAAGAAATCAGAGATGAAAAAAAATAAATGGAAAAACATTTCATTCTCATGCATTGGGAGAATCAATATTTTTAAATGGTTATAGTTTCAAAAAAATTTACAGATTCAATTCTATCTTTATAAAAATATCAGTGTCATTTTCCATGGAATTAGAAAAATCTATTCTAAAATTTATTTGAGACAAAAAAAAAAAAAGCCAGGATAGACAAAGCAATCCCAAGCAAATAGAACAAACCCAACAGTATCATGTATTTCCATTTCACACTGTACTATAAGGTTACAGTAACCAAAAAAAAAAAAAAAAAAAAAAAGTCACTGGTAAAAAAATATAAATAGACCAGTAAATAATTAAGAAATAAACTTACACACCTAGAACAATCTGATCTTTGACAAAATCAACAAAAATAAGCAATGGGGAAATGATTCCATATTTGATAAATGGTACTAGGACAACTGGCTACCCATATGCAAAACAATAAAAATACACTACTAATTCTCACCATATACAAAAATTAACTCAAGATAGACTAAAGACTTAAATGTAAGATGTGAAACTATAAAAATTCTACAAGGAAATTTAGCTGGGAGTGGTTGCTCATGCCTATAATCTCAGTGCTTTGGGAGGTGAAGGTGGGCAGATTGCTTAAACTCAGGAGTTCGAGACAAGCCTGGGCAACACCAACATGGTAAGACCACTCCTACACAAAATATACAAAAATTAACAGGGCATGATGGCATGTGCCTGTAGTCCCAGCTCCTTGGGAGGCTGAGGTGGGAGGATCACTTGAGTTCGAGAGGTGTGGGTGCAGTAAGCTGAGCTGAGATCACATCACTGCACTCCAGTCCAGGCGACAGAGAGGGATCCTGTCTCAAAAAATAATAATAAAATAAAAAAGGAAATCTAGGAAGTACTCTTCTCAATATCAGCTTTGGTGAAGAATTTATGGTTAAGTCCCCAAAAACAATTGCAACAAAAAACAAAAATTGACATTGAGACCTAAATAAACTAAAGATTTGCTGCAGAGCAAAATAAATTGCCACCAGAGTAAACAGACAGCCTTCATAATGGGAAAAAAATATTTTCAAACAATGCTTCTGAAAAAGGTCAAATATCTAGAATCTATAGAAAAATTAAACAAAAAAACCCAATAATACAAATATAAAATGGGCAAAAGACATGAACAGACAGACACTTTTCTTTTTTATTATTATTATTATACTTTAAGTTCTAGGGTACATGTGCACAACATGCAGATTTGTTACATAGGTATACACGTGCCATGTTGCTTTGCTGTATCCATCAACTCGTCATTTACATTAGGTATTTCTCCTAACACTATCCCTCCCCCAACCCCCCACCCCCCAACAGGCCCTGGTGTGTGACATTCCCCTCCCTGTGTCCATGTGTTCTCGTTATTCACCTCCCACTTATGAGTGAGAACATGCGGTGTTTGGTTTTTTGTCCTTGTGATATTTTGCTGAGAATGATGGTTTCCAGCTTCATCCATATCCTTGCAAAGGACATAAACTCATCCCTTTTTATGGCTGCATAGTATTCCATGGTGTATATGTGCCACATTTTCTTTATCTGGTCTATTATTAATGGACATTTGGGTTGGTTCCAAGTCTTTGCTATTGTGAATAGTGATGCAATAAACATACATGTGCATGTATCTTTATAGTAGCATGATTTATAATCCTTTGGGCACATACCCAGTAATGGGATTGCTTGGTCAAATGGTATTTCTAGTTCGAGATCCTTGAGGAATCACCACACTGTCGTCCACAGTGGTTGAACTAATTTACACTCCCACCGAAAGTGTAAAAGCATTCCTATTTCTCCACATCCTCTCCATCATCTGTTGTTTCCTGACTTTTTAATGATCATCATTCTAACTGGTGTGAGATTGTATCTCATTGCAGTTTTGATTTGCATTTCTCTGATGACCAGTGATGATGAGCATTTTTTCATATGTCTGTTGGCTGCATAAATGTCTTCTTTTGAGAATTGTCTGTTCATATACTTTGCCCAATTTTGATGGGGTTGTTTGTTTTTTTCTTGTAAATTTGTTTGAGTTCTTTGTAGATTCTGGATATTAGCCCTTTGTCAGATGGATAGATTGCAAAAATATTCTCCCATTCTGTAGGTTGCCTGTTCACTCTGATGATAGTTTCTTTTGCTGTGCAGAAGCTCTTTAGTTTAATTAGATCTCATTTGTCTGTTTTAGCTTTTGTTACCGTTGCTTTTGGTGTTTTAGTCATGAAGTCATTGCCCATGCCTATGTCCTGAACGGTATTGCCTAGGTTTTCTTCTAGAGTTTTTATGGTTTTAGGTCTTATATTTAAGTCTTTAATCCATCTTGAGTTAATTTTTGTGTAAGGTGTAAGGAAGGGATCCAGTTTCACCTTTCTACATATTGCTAGCGAGTTTTCTCAGCACCATTTATTAAATAGGGAATCCTTTCCCCATTGCTTGTTTTTGTCAGGTTTGTCAAAGATCAGATGGTTGTAGATGTGTGGTGTTATTTCTGAGGTCTCTGTTCTGTTCCATTCGTCTATATATCTGTTTTGCAGACAGACACTTTTCAAAAGAAGTTGTACAAATGGATCTATAATCATCAGAAAAATGCAAATTAATACCAGAATGGGTTACTATCTCACACCAGTCAGAATGGCTATCAATAAAAAGAAAAAAATTTGCCAGTGAAATTGCAGAGAAAAGGGTATCCTTATAAACTGCTGGTGGAAATATAAATTAGTTCAACTGCTGTGAAAAGTAGTTTGGGATTTCTCAAAGAACTTAAAACAGAGCAGCCATTTAACCCAGTAATCCCATTACTGAGTAGATATTTAAAATAAAAAAAATTGTTCTACCAAAAAGACACATGTACATACATGTTCATCATAGCAAAAAAATGAAATCAATCATTCACAATAGCAAAAAAATCAATCATTCACAATAGCAAAAAATCATTCACAATAGCAAAAAAATGAAATCAATCTGCATGCCCATCGATGGTGGACTACATAAAGAAAATATGGTACATGTACACCATGGAATACTATGCATCTATAAAAAAGAATAAAATCTTGCCTTTTGCAGAACTATGGATGCTGCTCAAGGCCACTGTCCTAAGCATATTAATGTAAGAACAGGAAAACAACTATTGTATGTTCTCACTTATAAGTGGGAGCTAAACATTGAATACATGTAACCATAAATTTGGAACAGTAGATGGGGGGGAATACTAGATGGGGGAGAGAGAGAGGCAGTATGGCCTGAAAAACAGCTCAGTTTTCCTGAACTGAAGTATTATGATTAGTATAAAAGTAAAAATTCTAAAAAATTTAAATACAAGAAATTGTAAAATGAAATTAAAATAAAATAAAGAAGAGCCAAACACAAACATGCATGTTAATCTTTTTCTAAGAAACACATCAGTTCCACATTGACATAGGCCAAAGTCTAAATGATAACATATAATATGCTCTAAATTAAAAACATTATATAATTGTAACCAGCATCATCACCCAACACAGCCTTCAGTTCCTCATGTTCTACAGTACAAGTGAAACATTAACCATTTCTTCAAGAATGCTCACATATTCCTCTGTCTCTCTTCCTGAAACACATGCCACCACTAACCATTCCCACTTTTTGTTTGGTTTAGAAAAGTATTTTCTAAACCATATGCAAGTATATTTTCAAAAGTTGTTCAAATATCTCTCACTAAATGTTAACTTCACCAATTAATATTGATAAAATAACATTTGCAGAGAAAACAAACATACATATTTGATCACAGTGTGTGCATCAACATGATTGGTAAAACATTAAAATTTTTTAAAATCTTTGGGTACAAGACCATTATTTGGCTGAGCCTCTGAGTGCCTAACTAACAGAAGTTTTTACCTGAAACTCCATGTACCATCTAAAAATACATACCTAAAACATTAATAATTGAAACAACAGAAAGCATCAACAACCACTTTTTAGCTTTATAACCTGCAACAATTAAGATTTGTTTCTCAGAACATCTGATTTAACAGTTGTTAAATATTTTGATTTCCATCTTTATCTTTTTCAACTTTTATTTTAGGTTCGGTGTTACATGTGCACATTTGTTACATGGGGAAATTGTTTGTAACTGAGATTTGGTGTACAAATGACCCCATCATCCAGGGAGTAAGCATGGTACCTGATAGTGCTCTCATCTCTCTTCCATCCTCCCCCACTACTAGTCTCCAGTGTCTATTGTTTCCATCTTTGTGTTCATGTGTACTTGATACTTTGCCCCACTTATAAGTGAGACCGTGAGGTATTTGGTTTTCTGTTCTTGCATTAATTCAGTTAGGAAAATGGCTTCCAGCTGCAACCATGTTGCTGCAAAGGGCATGATTTTATTCTTTATATGGCTGCCTAGTGTTCCATAGTGTATATGTATCACATTTTAAAATCTAGTCCACCATCTATTGACAACGAGGTTCATTCCATGTCTTTGCTACTGTTAATAGTGCTGCAATGAAGGTATAAGTGCATGTGCCTTTTTGGTAGAGCAATTTATTTTCCTTTGGGTCTATATAACCAGTAATTGAATTGCTAGGTCAAATGGTAGTTCTAAGTTCTTTGAGAAATCTTCAAACTGGTTTCCACTGTGGCTGAACTAATTTACATTCCCACCAACAGTATATAAGAGTTCCTTTTTCTCTGCAACATCACCACAGTCTCTTATTTTTTGACTTTTTAACAGTAGCCATTCTGACTGGTGTGAAATAGTTTCTATGTGGTTTTTATACACATTTCTCCAATGTTTAGTAATTGAGTATTTTTTCCTATGCTTGTTGGCTGCATGAATATCTTTTTTTTGAGAAGTGTCTGTTCATGTCCTTTGCCCCCTTTTTAATGGGTTTATTTGTTTTTAGATTGTTGAATTGTTTAAATTCTCTGTAGATTCTGGATACTAGACTTTTGTTAGATGATAGTTTGTAACTATTTTCTCCCATTCTGTATGTTGTCTCTTTACTCTGCTGACAGTTTCTTTGGCTGTGCAGAAGCTCTTTAGTACCATTAGGTCCCACTTGTCAATTTTTTTGTTGGTATTGCAATTTATTTTGGGAACTTAGTCATAAATTCCTTGCTAAGGTTGTTGTCCAGAATGGTACTTTCTAGATTTTAGTCTAGGATTTTTATAACTTTAGGTCTTATATTCAAGTCTAATCAATCATGAGTTAATTTTTGTATATGGTAGGAGGAAGAATTCCAGTTTTATTTTCTGCATATGTAATTGCCACCTTTAAACAAAAGCAAATATGGTAGTTTATTACTTCTCATGAATATACTGAATGTCTTTATAATATTTTTTTGTTTCACATATCCCAGGCTTTACACAAATGCTCTTAAATTCAGTTGAAATGTAGCCAGGAGGCAATGCATGTACAAAAATAACTAATAGATGGTATAACACGTGCCACCAGTGCTGCAGTACTGGAAATTTTGAAAGCTGAACATTATTGCTGACAAGCAGGAATGGAGATAAATGTTTAATTATGTGCTTAGTTTCAGTAATTTAAATTAGAGATTAGAAAGACACATTAAAAAGAACTTTACCAATGTGTTAAATATATAAACACTAAAGTGAGATAATAAAATGTATACAGTTACAGAGATTAAATATGTATAAAATAGTAGTGGAACCTAAAACAAATAAGGTTTGGCAACATAGCACCAATGAACACAATGTATTATGCTAGTTTAAAACACATTAATGCATATGTTTTGATAAATTTTTAAGAACTTTTGTGTCTGTAATCATGAGAGATATTGGCCTGTAAATTTCCTTTGGTGTAATGTTAAGAAATTTTTTATATCAAGGTTTATTTGACTTCATATAACAAATTTATAAGAATTTCCTGTTCGTATAATCTGGACAAATGGTTCAAAATAACATGATTCCTTAAATAGATATTTCAAAAACTTCATGACTGAAACTAACTGGGCCTGGAGTTTTATTTGTTAGAATATTTTAAATAACTTATTTAATTTGTATAAAAATGTACAAATATTTGTCTTTTGTTCTTGTTTTTTTACATTGTTTTGACAGGAATTTATCTAAATTTTAATATTTACTACTGTAAAGTTGTTCATATTATGCATTTACTATATTATCGTCCTTGCTTTTATGTAAAATTAGTTTTGTAGTATAATAAAAATACCAAAAAATACATAGATTATAAATGTATAGTTTGATGACCGGGGCGAAGCTTCCAGAGGAAGGAATAGGCAGCAATCTTTGCTGTTCTGCAGCCTCCACTGGTGATACCCAGGCAAACAGGGTCTGAAGTGGACCTCCAGCAAACTCCAGCAGACCTGCAGCAGAGGGTCCTGACTGTTAGAAGGAAAACTAACAAAGAGAAAGGAATAGCATCAACATCAAGAAGAAAAGGACGTCCACACAGAAACCCCATTCGAAGGTCACCAATATCAAAGAACAAAGGTAGATAAATCTATGAAGATGAGGAAAAACCAGTGCAAAAAGGCTGAAAATTCCAAAAACCAGAACACCTCTTCTACTCCAAAGGATCACAACTCCTCACCAGCCAGGGAACAAAACTGGACAGAGAATGAGTTTGACGAATTGACAGAAGTAGGCTTCAGAAGGTGGATAATAACAAAATCCTCCAAGCTAAAGGAGCATGTTCTAAACCACTGCAAGGAAGGTGAGAACCTTGAAAAAAGGCTACATGCATTGCTAACTAGAATAACCAGTTTAGAGAAGAACATAAAAGACCTGATGGAGCTGAAAAACACATCACAAGAACTTCATGAAGCATACACAAGTATCAACAGATGAATCGATCAAGAGGAAGAAAGAAGATCAGAGATTGAAGATCGACTTAATGAAATAAAGTGTGAAGACAAGATTAGAGAAAAAAGAAGGAAAAGGAACGAACAAGGCTTCCAAGAAATATGGGACCGTGTGAAAAGACCAAACCTACATTTGATTGGTGTACCTGAAAGTGATGAGGAGAATAGAACCAAATTGGAAAACACTCTTCAGGATATTATCCAGGAGAACATCCCCAACCTAGCAAGAGAGGCCAACATTCAAATTCAGGAAATACAGAGAACACCACAAAAATACTCCTCGAGAAGAGCAACCCCAAAACACATTATCGTCAGACTCACCAAGGTTGAAATAAAGGAAAAAATGTTAAGGGCAGCCAGAGAGAAAGGTGGGGTTCCCCACAAAGGGAAGCCTATCAAACTAATAGCTGGTCTCTCTGCAGAAATGGTACAAGCCAGAAGAGAGTGGGGGCAAATATTCAACATTCTTTAAAAAAAGAATTTTCAATGCAGAATTTCATATCCAGCCAAACTAAGCTTCAGAAGTGAAGAATAAATAAAATCCTTTACAGACAAGCAAATGCTGAGGGATTTTGACACCACCAGGCCTGCCTTACAAGAGCTCCAGAAGGAAGCACTAAATATGGAAAGGAAAAACCTGTACCAGCCTCTGCAAAAACAAACCAAAGTGTAAAGACCATCAACACTATGAAGAAACCGCATCAACTAATGGACAAAATAACCTGCTAGCATCATAATGACAGGATCAAATTCACACATAACATTATTAACCTTAAATGTAAATGAGCTAAATGCCCCAATTAAAAGGCTCGGATTGCCAAGTTGGATACAGAGTCAAGACTCATTGGTGTGCTGTATTCAGGAGACACACCTCACGTGCAAAGACACACATAGGCTCAAAATAAAGGGATGGAGGAAGATTTACCAAGCAAATGTAAAGAAAAAAAAAAGCAGGGTTTGCAATCCTAGTCTTTGATAAAACAGACTATAAACCAACAAAGATCACAAAACACAAAGAAGGGCTTTACATAATGGTAAAGGGATCAATGCAACAAGAAGAGCTAACTATCCTAAATATATATGCACCCAATGCAGGAGGACCTGGATTCATAAAGCAAGTTCTTAGAGACCTAGAAAGAGAATTAGGCTCCCACACAATAACAGTGGAAGACTTTACCACTCCACTGTCAATATTAGACAGATCAACGAGACAGAAAATTCACAAGTATATTCAAGACTTGAACTCAGCTCTGGACTGAGCAGACCTAATAGACATCTACAGATCTCTCCACCCAAAATAAATAGAATATACATTCTTCTCAGCACCACATAGCACTTGTTCGAAAATTGACCACATAATTGGAAGTAAAACACTCCTTAGCAAATGCAAAAAAATGGAAATAATAATAAACAGTCTGTCAGACCACAGTGCAATCAAATTAGAACTCAGGATTAAGAAACTCACTCAAAACTGCACAACTACATGGAAACTGAACAACATGCTCCTGAATGACTAATGGGTAAATAAAGAAATTTAGGCAGAAATAAATAAGTTCTTTGAAACCAATGAGAACAAAGACACAACATACTAGAATCTCTGGGACACAGCTAAAGCAGTGTTTAGAGTGAAATTTATAGCACTAAATGCCCACAGGAGAAAGTGGGAATAATCTAAAATCAATACCCTAACATCACAATAAAGCAAACTGGAGAAGCAAGAGTAAATTCAAAAGCTAACAGAAGACAAGAAATAACTAGGATCAAAGCAGAACTGAAGGAAATAGACACAAAAAAAACCCTTCAAAAAATCAATGAATCCAGGAGCTGGTTTATTGCAAAGATTAACAGAATAGATAGAGTGCTAGCCAGACTAATAAAGAAGAAAAGAGATAAGAATCAAATAGGCACAATAAAAAATGATAAAGGGGAGATCACCACTGATCCCAAAGAAATACAAACTACCACCAGAGAATGCTATAAACACCTCTATGCAAATAAACTAGAAAATCTAGAAGAACTGGATAAATTCCTGGACACATACACTCTCCCAAGACTAAACCAGAAAGAAGTTGAATCCCTGAATAGACCAATAACAAGTTCTGAAATTGAGGCAGTAATTAATAGCCTAGAAAAACAGCTATTAATTAATAGCCAACGAAAGCCCAGGACCAGACAGATTCGCAGCCAAATTATATCAGAGGTACAAAGAGGAACTGGTACCATTCCTTCTGAAACTATTCCAAACAGTAGAAAAAGAGGGACTCCTCCCTAACTCATTTTATGAGGCCAGCATCATCCTGATACCAAAACCTGGCAGAGACACAACAAAAACAAAAAATTTCAGGCCAATATCCCTGATGAAAATCAATGGAAAAATCCTCAGTAAAATACTGGATAACCAAATCCAGCAGCACATCAAAAAGCTTATTTACCACGATCAAGACAAATTCTTCCCTGGGATGCAAGGCTGGTTCAACATACACAAATCAATAAACATAATCCATCACATAAACAGATCCAATGACAAAAACCACATGATTATCTCAATAGATGCAGAAAAGGCCTTTGATAAAATTCAACACCCCTTCATGGTAAAAACACTCAATAAACTAGGTATTGATGGAATATATCTCAAAACAATAAGAGCTATTTATGACAAACCCATAGCCAATATCATAATGAATGGACAAAAGATGGAAGCATTCCCTTTGAAAATAGGTGCAAGACAAGGGTGCCCTCTCTCACCACTCCTACTCAACATAGTATTGGACGTTCTAGCTAGAGCAATCAGGCAAGAGAAAGAAATAAAGGACATTCAGATAGGAAGAGAGGAAGTCAAAGTATCTCTGTTTGCAGATGACATGATTGTATAGTTTAAAAACCCCATTGTCTCACCCCCACAAATTCATAAGCGGATAAGCAACTTCAGCAAAGTCTCAGGATACAAAATCAATGTGCAAAAATCACAAGCATTTCTATATATCAATAACAGAAAAACAGAGAGCCAAATCATGAGCAAACTCTCATTCTCAATTGCTACAAAGATAATAAAATACCTAGGAATACAACTTACAAGGGATGTGAAGCTTCTCTTCAAGGAGAACTACAAACCATTGCTCAAGGAAATAAAGGAGGACACAAGCAGATGGAAAAACATTTTATGCTCATGGATAGGAAGAATCAATATTGTGAAAATGACCATACTGCCAAAAGTAATTTATAGATTCAATGCTATTCCCATCAAGCTACCATTGACTTTCATCACAGAATTAGAAAAAAACTACTTTAAATTTCATATGGAATCAAAAAAAGAACCCGTATAGCCAAGACAATCCTAAGCAAAAAGAGCAAACCTGGAGGCATCACTCTACCTGACTTTAAACTATACTACAAGGCTACAATAACCAAAACAGCATGGTACTGGTACCAAAACAGATATATAGACCAATGGAACAGAACAGAGGCCTCAGATGTGTGACACCACACATCTATAACCATCTTATCTTTGACAAACCTGACAAAAACAAGCAATGAGAAAAGGATTCCATATTTAATAAATGGTATTGGGAAAACTGGCTAGCCATATGCATAAAACTGAAACTGGACCACTTCCTTACACCTTATACAAAAATTAACTCAAGATGGATAGAAGATTTAAACGTTAAGACCTAAAACCATGAAAACCCTAGAAAAAAACCTAGGCAATACCATTCAAAACTTAGGCATGGGCAAAGACTTCCTGACTAAAACACCAAAAGCAATTGCAACAAAAGCCAGCATTGACAAATGGGATCTAATTAAACTAAAGAGCCTCTGCACAGCAAAAGAAACTATCATCAGAGTGAACAGGCAACCTACAGAATGGGAGAATATTTTTGCAATCTATCCATCTGACAAAGGGCTAATATCCAGAATCTACAAGAAACTTAAACAAATTTACAAGAAAAAAACAACCGCATCAAAAAGTGGACAAAGGATGTGAACAAACACTTTTCAAAAGAAGACATTTATGTGGCCAACAAACATATGAAAAAAAGCTAACCATCACTGGTCATTAGAGAAATGCAAATCAAAACCACAATGAGATACCATCTCACACCAGTTAGAATGGCCATCATTAAAATGTCAGGAAACCACAGATGCTGGAGAAGATGTGGAGAAACAGGAATGCTTTTACACTGTTGGTGGAATTGTAAATTAGTTCAACCATTGTGGAAATCAGTATGATGATTCCTCAGGGATCTAGAACTGGAAATATCATTCCTCCCAGCAATCCCATTACTGAGTATATACTAAAGTATTATAAATCCTTTACTATAAAGACACATGCACACGTATGTTTATTGCAGCACTATTCACAATAGCAAAGGCTTGGAACCAACCCAAATGCCCATCAATGTTAGACTGGATAAAGAAAATGTGGCACATGTACACCATAGAATATTATGCATTCATAAAAAAGAATGAGTTTATGTCCTTTGCAGGGACATGGATGAAGCTGGAAATCATCATTCTCAGCAAACTAACAAAGGAACAGAAAACCAAACATTTCATGTTCTCACTCGTAAGTGTGAGTTGAACAATGAGGACATATGGGCACAGGGAGGGAAACATCACACACCGGGCCTGTCAGGGGTTGGGGGCAAGGGGAGGGATAGAATTAGGAGAAAGATCTAATGTATATGACGTGTTGATGGGTGCAGCAAACCACCATGGCATGTGTATACCTATGTAACAAACCTGCATGTTCTGCACATGTATCCCAGATCTTAAAGTATAATAATAAAAAAAAAGCCTGAAATAAATGTGGGCAAAAAACTTACAAATGACTATTGAGTCTAGAATTTAATGACAAATGTGTGATAAATTTAGAAACAAAATTTCTCTCACTCCCATCCTCATTTTTCTTAAAAGCAAATCATGACAAGAATTAGTAGTTTGCAAAATAAAATTTATTCTTATACTTGGCCTGATTATTGCATAAAGTGCAGCAAAAATAATTAATTTTACATACGCTTTTTAAAGTGGCTCTGATGGAACTCTGTTTCACAAGGGATATCAGACAGGACTTATTACAGCTGAGCCCAGCCATCAAATACCTATGAGTTGGGTAAACTTCTTCTTAAGGATCCAAGAACATGGCGTTCCTGGGCCTCTTAGAAAGTAACATTCTTTATTCACCACAGGTTAGGAAACCTGTACAGCAACTGTTTAGACAAGGTATGAGGCCAGTTTTCCAAAGGGGCTTTTATTGGCTCTGCATGTCATCCCAGCACTTTGGGAGGCCGAGGCAGGTGGATCACGAGGTCAGGAGATCGAGACCATCTTGGCTCACTGCAAGCTCCGCCTCCCGGGCTCATGCCATTCTCCTGCCTCAGCCTCCCAAGCAGCTGGGACTACGCGCATCCACCACCATGTCCGGCTATTTTTTTTTTTTTTTTGTATTTTTAGTAGAGAGGGGGTTTCACTGTGTTAGCCAGGATGGTCTCAATCTCCTGACCTTGTGATCCACCTGCCTCGGCCTCCCAAAGTGCTGGGATTACAGGCGTGAGCCACCACGTCTGACTGCAAGAACCTTTTCTCTTTAAGAGAAAATACTTAGCTTTCCAAACAATTTGTGTACTATCTTCTCTTTCTTTTTCTTGGCAGCCTATCTGCAAGGCAAATGAACATCTTTCATTATGCTTTACTATTACTACTCCAAGTAATCTGATTCGATGAAATCCCTATCAAAATTACTATGACGTTCTTTACAGAAATAGAAAAAGCAATTATAAAATCCTTGTGGAACCACTAAAGAACCGAAACAGCTAATGAATTTTGAAAACAAAACAAAGCAAAACAAAACAAGAAGTATCACCCTTTCGGATTTCAAATTATGTTATAAAGCTTTAGTAACCAAAACATGTGGTACTGGCATAAAAACAGACACATAGACTGATGAAATAGAATAAAAAGCCCAGTAATAAACCCCTACATAACATCAATTAATTTCCATAAAGTACGCCACAAATATACAGTGCAGAAAGAACAGTGTCTTCAATACATGCTGCTGGAAAAGATGCAATATTATTTACATGCAATAGAGTAAAATTAGACCAGCAAACCACCATATCACACGTTTACATATGTAACAAACCTGCACATCCTGCACATGTACCCCAGAACTTAAAATAAAAATATTTTTTAAAAAAATAAAATTGCACCATTTTTCACCACACAGAAAAATCAACTTCACTTGAATTGAAGACTTAGTGGTAAGAACTGAAACCATAAAACACCTACCAAAAAATAAAATAAAAAACAGGAAAAAAAAACTTGAAATTGGTCTTGACAATTGTTTTTTGAAGATGGCACCACAAGCTCAGGCAAAAAAAGCAAAAAATAAACAAGGAGGATTGTATCAACTAAAATGATCTAGCACACTAAAGCAAACAATGAACAAAATCAAAAGGCACTTTAAAGAATAGGAGAAAATACTTGCAAATGATACATCTAATAAAAAGTTAATGTCAAATATATACAAGAAAACCATAAAACTGAATATCAAACAAAGTGAATTAACACATTAATTTGGGCAAAGAAAAAAATAACTAATGGGTACTAGGCTTAATAGCTGGGAGATGAAATAATCTGTATAACAAACACCTATGACACAAGTTTACTTGTGTAACAAACCTACGCTTGTACCCCTCAACTTAAAATAAAAGTCAAAAAAAGTGGGCAAAGCACCTGAATGGACATTTCTTCAACTAAAACATATAAATGGCCAATAGGTATATAAAAAGATGATGAATATCATTAATTATCAGAAAAATGTAAACTAAAATCTCAGTAGGATATCACATTACATATTTTAGGATGACTATTATTTAAAAAGTAAACAAGTATTGGTTCAAACGTGGAAAAAAGGGAATCCTTGTGTACTGTTGGTGGAAATGTAAATTGGCACAGCCATTATAGAAAACAGTTGGAGATTTCTCAAGAAATTAAAAAGATAACTACTATATGTTCCATCCACTCCAATACTGGACATATACTTAAAGGATATAAAATTACTATACCTAGGAGATATTTGCACTTTCATGTTTATTGCAGCATTATTCTCAAGAGCCAAGATATGTAATCTACCTAAACATTTATTGATGCATAAATGAATTTAAAAACTGTGATATATATATGCATATATATGTGTGTATTACATATATATCACATATACATGAATCACATATATATGAACACATTTACACATAAGAATATAATTTGGCTTCATACACAGAAGAAATCCTGTCATTAGCAACAACGTGGATGGAACTGGAAGACATTATGTTAAGCAAAGGAAGCCAGGCACAAAGAGGCAAACTTCACATATTCTCACTCATTTGTGGGAGGTAAAAGTTAAAACAGTTGAACTCATGGAGATAGAGAGTATAATGATGGTTACCATAAAAGCATATATAAAATTATTTTATAAATAATAAATTAATAAAAGTGTCTATATAAACTCTGTTTTTCATAATTCATTAATGAAACACAATCATATTAAAGGGAGGCATCTAAATAAGTGCTGTCACTTCCAACAGTTGCTTTAAAAAATAAACATTCAATATACTAATTCTGCTTTGTTCTAAAACTTGGCTTTTTTTGTAATTGGTGGAATGTGAAAAAGAGGGAAAAGTTTTCCCTCCAGCCAATTTTAAATGTTTTTTATTATACAAAACTTTTAAACATATACCTAAGTACACAAAATAATCTAATGAAACCTAATATGCCCACCATCTGCATCAACAATTTTCAAGTCATGACTAATTTTTTTTAATTTATTTTAGGTTTAGAGATACATGTGAAATTTTGTTACATAGGTAAACACATGTCACAGATATTTGTTGTACATATTATTTCATCACCCAGGTATTAAGCCCAGTACCCAATAGTTATCTTTTCTATTCCTCTCTCTCCTTCCACCCTCCCACCACATGCAGACCCCAGTGCCTGTTGTTTCCTTCTTTGTGTTCATAAGTTGTTAATATTTAGCTTCCACTTATATGTGAGAACACGTGGTATTTGGTTTTCTGTTCCTGTGTTAGCTTGTTAAGGGCAACAGCCTCCGGCTCCATCCATGTTCCTACAAAAGACATGATCTTCGTTTTTTTATGGCTGCATAGTATTCCATGATGTATATGTACCACATTTTTCTTTATCCAATTTGTCATTGAGGGGTATTTAGGTTGATCCCTGTCTTTGCTATTGCAAATAGTGCTGCAATGAAAACTTGTGTGTATGTGTCTTTATGGTAGAATAATTTATATTCCTCTGGGTATATACTCAGTAATGGGATTGATGTGTCCAGTGGTAGTTCTGCTTTTAGCTCTTTGAGGAATGGCCCTACTTCTTTCCACTATGGTTGAACTAATTTACACGCCAACCAACAGGGTATAAGTGTTCCCTTTTCTCTACAACCTTGCCAGCATATGTTATTATTTGACTTTTTTTTTTTTTTTTGAGATGGAGTCTCACTCTGTTGCCCAGGCTGCAGTGCAGTGGTGCAATCTCAGCTCACTGCAAGCTCCACCTCCCAGATTCACACCGTTCTCCTGCCTCAGCCTCCGAAGTAGCTGGGACTACAGGCACCCGCCACCACGCCCTGCTAATTTTTTTTTTTTTTTTTTTGTATTTTTAGTAAAGACAGGGTTTCACCGTGTTAGCCAGGATGGTCTCGATCTCCTGACCTTGTGATCTGCCCACCTCGGCCTCCCAAAGTGCTGGGATTACAGGCTTGAGCCACCGGGGCACCCAGCCTATTTGACTTTTTAATAATAGCCATTCTGACTGCTTTGAGATGGTATCTCATTGTGTTTTTGATTTGCATTTCTCTAATGATCAGTGATACTGAGCTTTTTTCATCTGCTTGTTGGCTACATGTATGCCTTCTTTTGAAATGTGTCTGTTTATGTAGTTTGCCCACTTTTTAATGGGGTTGTTTTTCTCTTGTAGATCTGTTTAAGTTCCTTATAGATGCTGGATATTAGACCTTTGTCAGATGCATAGTTTGAAAAATATCTTCTCCTATTCTGTAGGTTGTCTGTTTACTCTGCTGATAGTTTCTTTTGCTGTGCAGAAGCTCTTAAGTTTAATTAAATCCGACATGTCAAGTTTTGCTTTTGTTGTGATTGCTTTTGATGTCTTTGTCATGAAATCTTTGTTCATTCCTATGTCCAGGATGGTATTTTCTAGGTTGTCTTCCAGGGTTTTTGTAGTTTTGGGTTTTACATTTAAGTCTTTAATCCATCTTGAGTTGCTTTTGTATATGGTGTAAGGAAGGGGTCCAGCTTCAAGCTTCCACGTATGGCTAGCCAGTTATCCCAGAACCATTTATTGAATAGGGGGTCTTTTTTCCATTGCTTGTTTTGTCTATTTTGCCAAAGATCAGGTAGTTGTAGGTGTGTGGCCTTATTTCTGGGCTCTCTATACTGTTCCATTGGTCTATGTGCCTGTATTTGTACCAGTAACATGGTGTTTTGGTTACTGTAGCCTTATATTATAGTTTGAAGTTGGGCAATGTGATGCCTCCAGCTTTGTTCTTTTTACTTAGAATTTTCTTGGCTATGCAGGCTCTTTTTTTATCCATATGGATTTTGAAATAGACTTTTTTCTACTTCTGTGAAGAATGCTGTTGGTACTTTGATAGGAATAGCATTGAATCTAATCTATTACTCTACTACTTCCTATATTATTTTGAAGCAATTTCCAGGAATTGCAAATATGTCAGTAAATACCTCTCAAAGATGAGGACTCTTTATTATTTAAAATAATTGTGGTACTATTTTAATGCTTTAAAAATAAAATTATCAATTACTTCATATTATAAAATATGCAGTCAGTGTAAATTATTCAATTGCCTCATAAATATCATAATTTTTCTCAGTTTATTGGTTTTGTTGAATCTGTCTCCAAAATACCTTCATATATTGCAAATGGTTGATATATCTCTAAAGTCTCTTTTAAATTTTAGTTCCTTTTTTGTGCAATCTATTGATAGAGACTAAGATATTTGTCCAAAGACACATATTTAAAATATTAGTTTTATTGAGGTATAATTTACATATAAATTCAATTTTGGGTGAATAATTCAATGAACTTAGACAAATGACCACATAATTACCACCACAGTAATAATATATAGAGCATTTCTATTAACCCTGAAAGTTCTCTTGTGCTCATTTTTAAAAAATACTCATGGCTATTATTTATTACAGTGAAAGGATGGAAGGCAAAATTAACAATGAAAAAAGGTGCATGTGGCAAAATCTTGAGGAAATCAGGTATAAGCTTCCAAAAGTCCTCTCCCAGTATTGTTGCACAGGAGTAAATTAATTCCTTCTGTGTGGAGTAGTGACAGCACATACAAAATGTTGTGGGGTTTATTCAACTTATCTTAGATTCAGTGGGTACATGTGGAGGATTGTTACTTGGGTATACTACGTGAGGCTGATGTTTGGGGTATGAATTATCCTGTCACCAAGGTACTCAGCATAATACGTGACAGCTAGTTTTCCAACTCTTGTGTCCCTCCCTAGCTTCCCCCTCTAACAGTCTCCAGTGTCTATTGTTGCCATCTTTATGTCCTCGAGTGCCCAATGTTTAGCTACCACTTATAAGAGAGAACATGCAGTATTTGGTTTTCTGTTCTCAGATGGATTTGCTTAAGATATGTCCTCCAGCTGCATCTATGTTGCTGCAAAGAATATTTTTTATGACTGCATAGTATTCTGTGGTATACATATACTATATATTTTTTATCTAATCCACTATTGATGGGCACCTAGGTTGATTTCATATCTTTGCTTTTGTGAATAGTGCCATGAGGAACATACACATGCATGTGCCTTTTTGGTATAATGATCTATATTTGTTTGGTTATAGACCCAGTAATAGGATTGCTGTGTTGAATGATAGCTCTGTTTTAAAGTATTTGAGAAATCTCCAGAGTGCTTTCCACAGAAGCTGAACTAATTAACATTCCCACCAACAGTGTATAAGCATTCTTTTTTCTCCATGGACTTGCCAGTATCTGCTCTTTTTTTTTTTGATTTTTTAATAGTAGCCATTCTGACTGGTTTGAGATGGTATCTCATTGCAGTTTTGATTTGCATTTCTCTAAGAATAGTGATATTGAGCATTTTTCAAATGTTTGTTAACCACTTGTATGTCTTATTTTGAAAAGTGTCTGTTCATTTTTTTGCCCACTTTTAATGGAGTTATTTGTTTTTTTACTTGTTCAATTGTTTAAATTCCTTATTCATTCTGGATATTAGACGTTTGTCTATCTGTAATTTGTGAATATCTTCTCCCATTCTGCAGCTTACCTGTTTACCCTGTTGGGGGTTTCTGCTGCTGTGCAGAAGTTCTTTAGCTTAGTTAGGTCCCACTTTTCCATTTTTTGTTTTGTTGCAGTTGTTTCTCAAGACTTAGTCATGAATCATTTTATCAACGCTGATGTCCAGAGTGGTGTTTCTGCAGTTTTCTTTGTGCATTTTTATAGTTTGATATCCTTTACATTTAAAACTTTAATCCATCTTGAGACAATTTTTGCATATCGTGAAAGGTAGGTGTACCGTTTTATTCTTCTGTTTATGGATAGCTAACTATGCCAGCATAATTTATTGAATAGGAAGTCCTTTCCACAGTGCTTATTTTTTTTCAGCTTTGTCAAAGAATAGATAGTAGTGGCTGTGAAGCTTTTATTTCTTGGTTCTCTATTTTGTTACATTTGTCTACAAATCTTGTTTTGTACCAGTACCGTGCTGTTTTGGTTACTGAAGCCTCGTAGTGTAGTTTGAAGTCCCATAATGTGATGCCTCCAGCTTTGGACTTTTTGTTTGTTGCTTTTGCTTAGGATTGCTTTGCCTATTCAGGCTTATTTTTTTGTTTCCATATTATTTTTAGAATAGTGTTACCAATTCTGTGAAAATTGGCATTGGTAGTTTGATAGAAATAGCATTGAATATAAAAATTGCTTTGAGGAGTGTGGCCATTTTGATGATATTGATTCTTTTAATCCATGAGTATGAAATGTATTTCTATTTGTTTGTGTCTTCTGAAATTCCCTTACTTATTCCATGAAGCCAGTATTACCCTGATATGAAAACCTGGCAAAAACACAACAAATAAGGAAAACTACAGGCCAATATCCTTGATAAACACATATGCAAAAATACTCAACAAAATACTGTCAGGTTGTTGCAAAAGTAATTTGGTTTCTTGCCATTACTTTACCTTTAGTGGCAAAAAAAGCCAATGACTTTTGCACCAACATAATAACAAACTGGATTCAACAGCACATCAAAAAGTTAATTCACCATGGTCAAATAGGCTTCATTCCTGGGATAAAAGGTTGTTTCAACATATGCAAACCAATAAACGTGATTTATCACATAAACACAATTTAAAACAAAGATCATATAATCATCTCAATAGATTCAAAAAAAGCTTTTGGTAAATCCAATATCACTTCGTAATAAAACCCTCAATAAACTAGGCATTTAGGAAACATAACTCAAAATAATAAAAAAAAATCTGTGACAAACCCACCGTCAACATCACACTGAATGGGCAAAAACCGGAAGCATTTCCCTTGAGAACTGGAACAAGACAAGGATGCCCACTTTTACCACTCTTATTCAACATAGTTCTAGAAGTCTTAGCCAACGCCATCAGGTAAGAGAAAGAAATAAAAGGCATCTGCATTGCAAAATAAGAAGTCTTATTATCTCTCTTTGTTGACAACATGATTCCATACCTAGAAAAACCTAAAGACTCTACAAAAAAGGCTATTAGAACAGATAAACAATTTTAGCAAAGTTTCAGGATACAAAATCAATGTACAAATATCAGTAGCATTTCTATACATCAATAAAGTTAAAGTTGTGTGCCAAATCAAGAATGCAATCACATTTACAGGAACAACACAAAAAATAAAATACCTGGGAATACATCTACCCAAGGAGGTTAAAGATCTCTATGAGAAGAAACTTGTGCTCCTTTGAAATCAATCTCCTCTGTTTTGTCAACCACTGATGTGGATTTTATCATCATACTTCTTCCCTTTCAAGGATTACTTTCAAGTGTAATTTTACAGTATGTAGCCTTTTGTGACTAGCTTCTTAAACTTTGCATAATACTTTTGAGATTTATTCATGTTATTGCATGTTTCAGTAGTCATTCATTTTCACTGGTACACCGACCATATTCCATTGTGTGGATTAACCACAAAAAGCACTTTTTATTTTACAATATAGGTTACCTAAGCAAAAATATTTTTGCCAATATGTTGTTTTTGTCTCATTTGGATAGAGATAGTCATAACCACGAAGTTAAAAAGAAAATAAATGCAATCACCTGGTTTATAAAATTACATTGATATTTCTTTCTATAGTGTCTACAGTTAATCTCAATATGGCTTTCTAAATACAACTCTAAAGTGTGCAGCAATAATAAATAATAATAAGCTTGAGAGTATGATAGCTTTATTATGAAGCTTTATAGTCTTTTTCAAAGACATACTGAAGTACAGCTTTTAGGAAATTCTTTATGATTGTGAAAATCTGCAGATAAGACTATTGTAATCAACTGGAGAATTTCTTCTAAGCAAAAAGATTCTAGCAAACACATTTTAGAAAGAGATTTATAAACAGAGCCAGGTTGTGCTCCAAATGACTGAATTCAAAAATCAGAATTATCATTTTTGTAAGTCTGAAGTATGAGCAAATACTGAATTCCTAGCAAGAGATGCTGAATTATCAATCACTCACTGTTGCCTCTTTATGAAATGTAGATTAAAAGATGGCGATAGAATGGACTAGCCCATGAACAGAGTCTTAGGATACTAAAGTTAAAAAAAAATACTGAAAATCAGATATGTGTGTTTGAAGTGACTCACATATAGAATGCTGATTCAAATAGAACTTTTGCTTGATATTCAGTATAAAATAAAATAATACATTTCTAGCAGATTTATATTGTTCGTATATAGGTATTTTTATTATGTTTCTTCAGTATGTCATTTTTCTCTTCAGTGTATTAGTTTTACAAATTAATACCCCTTATTTTCCAATTATAGAAATTTTCCAGATTTAATCTACTTTATGCAGCATTAAAAGAGATCCAATTATAATAAATTAAATACAATAAGAAGACATCTTAAGTTTATGTAATTTTCAGGAAAATGATTCAATAGATTATCAAAGGGAGATTAAACAAAAATAGGAAATATTTTATTTTTCTCGATTTCTTTGGTTTAGGTTTCTAAACACAAAATTTATAAGACTAAAAGAACATCCCAAGATTTTAAGGCCAAAGAAAAACGGATTTAAAAGGTAGCATGGGAATGCATAGCATAAAACCCTACTGAAAGAAGTAGAATATCAAGTTTGTTTTCTTTCTCCTTCATGAGCTAGTGTTGAATATCTTTCATTTCTTGGAGAGCAAAAGATAAAAAGAAAAAAAAAGTTTCCTTAATAGTGATGAAAACAAATAACTTTCCTTATATCTTTACTTCTCTTTATTTCTCTGGGTCAGTACAAGAATGGCTCACTAAGAAAGTGATATAATAGTGAGAAACTGTGAAGCCAAAGTAGGTTGCCTGATTCTGTCTCAGGAGACAGTTTAAAAGACAGATTTCCAGGTGGCTCACTCTCATGCCTGGCAAGTTTGGCTCTGGGTGTTGACAGGAGTCCTCACTTTGTCTACATATGGACCTCTACATAGGCAGTTTTAGTGTCCTCAAGACATGAGGGCTTGTTTCTTCCAGAGGAAATGATCCAAGACCCAGTTTTATCCTTTCAGTTGTGAAAACGTTGACAACAAAACAAAACAAGCACATTCCACTAACATCTGCAGTTGTGGCTACAGAGCAATTAAAATCTGACTATTTTGAATGAAGTTCTTTTTTTTTAATTTGTAACATTTTCTAAATGAGGGTTTCTATTTTCATCCATATATTTGTAGCTGTAATGATATAGTCCCTCTTTTTTCAAGCTTTCCATGATTTAAAAACACTAGTATTATAATTTTGATGCTATTTATGAACTCCTAAGTTACACATTTAGAGAACTGATTTATTTATGTCAATATTCAGTATGGTAATACTTAGTGTGTAGCTGATATTTCCTGATTATGAGTTTGTCTTTGGTCCTTTGTTGTCCCTATCTAGTCTTTTTTCTAAGCTCAAATTTTCTTTTAAAGCTATCATACTCTCAAGAAGCTGCCCCTCAAGTTAAATTATTTCTTTCAGCAAGATTGTCTCCAAAGTCATAGAAAAAATAGACAGTAATGGAAAATAGTAAAAATTCATTCCAAATACTGTCCTGTCACCAATAAAATATTGTTATTTGAATCCATTCACATTTTCCTATAATATTTCAGGAGACTAAATAACCTTTCTCTAGACTAAGCCTAATATTTTATCTTTTCAGAATCTGACCTTTTGTCTCATTCTCATTAGGAAGTTGGGCAAATGGTTTACTGAGAGGAAAGAAGTTTAGGGCATGGCTCCATCTACTATTATTTTCTTTTAGGTTATTTTTTTTCTTTCTCTCTGCTCTCTCTGCTGATATATTGAGTATCTTCCATCTGAAAAGAAAGCAAAAAGAAAAACAATTAAAATGGTCATTTGTATATCTTCTTTTTAGAATTGTCTATTCATGTCCTTACCCCACTTTTTGATGGGATTGATTGTTTTTCTCTTACTGATTTGTTGAGTTCATTGTAGATTCTGAATATTAGTCCTTTGTCAGATGTATAGATTGTGAAGATTTTCTCCCACTCTGTGGGTTGTTTGTTTACTCTGCTGACTGTTCCTTTTGCTATGGAAAAGCACTTTAGTTTAATTAAGTCCCAACTATTTATCTTTGTTTTTATTGCATTTTCTTGGGGTTCTTGGTCATGAAATTCTTTCCTAAGCCAATGTCTAGAAGGGTTTTTCCAATGTTATCTTTTAGAATTTTTATAGTTTCAGGTCTTAGATTTAAGTTCTTAATTAAACATATGAAAAAATGCTCAGCATCACTAATGAACAGGGAAATGCAAACCAAAACCACAATGTGATACCACCTTACTCCTGCAAGGATGGCCATAATCAAAAAATAAAGGAAAAAAAAAAAACAGTAGATGTTGGCATGGATGTGATGATCAGTGAACACTTCTACACTGCTGGTGGGAATGTATACACTATGGAAAACAGTGTGAAGATTCCTTAAAGAACTAAAAGTAGAACTACCATTTGATCCTGCGAACCCACTACTGGGTATCTACCTAGAGGAAAAAAAGTCATTATATGAAAAAGATAGTGCACACACATGTTTATAGCAGCACAATTCACAATTGCAAAATCGGGGACCCAACCCAAATGCCCATCAATCAGCGAGTGGATAAAGAAACTGGCATGCATATGCATATATACATATATATATATATATACACACACACATATATATATACACATATACATATATATATACACATATACATATATATATATGATGGAATACTACTCATCCATAAAAAGGAATGTATTAACAACATTTGCAGTGACCTGGATGAGATTGGAGACTATTATTCTAAGTGAAGTGACTCAGGAATGAAAAACCATACATTGTATGTTCTCACTGACATGTGGGAGCTAAGCTATGAGAATGCAAGGGCATAAGAATGATACAATGGACTTTGCGGACTTGGGGGAAGAGTGGGAGTGGGGCAAGGGATAAAAGAGTGCATATATGGTGCAGTGTATACTGCTCAGGTGATGAGTGCACCAAAATTTCACAAATCACCAGTAAAGAACTTACTCGGGTAACCAAATACCACCTGTACCCCAATAACTTATGGAAAAATTTTAAAAAATACAATTAAATGAACAAAAAATCACTTGCAGTGAATCTGTCTGTAGTCTACTCTACTTATTACCTTAGGCACCTTTCCATTGATAGTCAAGGTTTAAAATAAAAATAGAGGTTTAGCTTCCATTTCTAAGTGAGAACATGAAGTATTTGCTTTTTTTTTTCCTGCATTCGTTTGCTTAGAATAATGACCTTCAGCTCCATTCATGTTGCTGCAAAGGACATTATCTCATTCCTTTTTATGGATGCATAGTATTCCATGGTGCATATGTATGATATTTTATTTTCCAGTCTACCACCAATGAGCATTTTGGTTGATTCCATGTCTTTGCTATTGTAAATCATACAGTAATGAACATATGCATGCATATGTCATTGTGGTAGAAATATTTATATTCCTTTGAGTACATATGCAATAATGGGATTACTAATAATTCTGGTTTGAATTCTTTGAAAATTGCTATACTGCTTTCAACAATGACTGAACTAATTTAAATTCCCACCAGCAGTGTATAAGCATCCCCTTTGCTTGCAACCTTGCCAAAATCTGTTACTTTTTAATAATAGCCATTCTGACTGCTGTGAGATGATATCTGTCATTTTGATTTGTATTTCTCTATTGATTAGTAATGTTGAGCATTTCTTCATATGCTTCTTGCCCACGTGTAGGTTTGTTTTGAAGAGTCTGTTTGTGTCCTTTGCCCACTTTTTAATAGGGTTTTGTGTTTTCTGCTTTTTAATTTAAGTTCCATATATGTTCTGGATGTTAGAACTTTGTCAGATGCAGTTTGCAAGTATTTTCTCCCATTCTGTAAGCTATATGTTTACTCTGTTTATAATTTATTTTGCTGTGCAGATGTTCTTTGGTTTAATTAGGTCCCATTTGTCAATTTTTCTTTTTGTTAAAATTGCCTTTGGCATTTTCATAATTTTTTTTGCAAGGGTCTATATACAGAATGGTATTTCCTAGATTATCTTTCTGTCTTCCTAGTTTTTTATAGTTTTAGGTTTTACATTTAAGTCTTTAATTTCTCTTTAGCTAACTTTTATATGGTATAAGGAAGGGGTCCAGTTTCAATCTTCTGCCTACGGCTAACCAGTTATCCCAGCACCATTTATTGAATAGGGAATCCTTTCCCCATTGCTTGTTTTTGTCAGCTTTGCTGAAGATCAGATGGTCACAGGCATGTAGGCTTATTTCTGGGCTCTCTCTTCTGTTGCATTGGTCTATGTGCCTGTTTTTGTACCACTACCATAATGTTTTGGTTATCATAGCTTTGTAGTATAGTTTGAAGTTGGGTAATGTTATGCCTCCAGGTTTGCTCTTTTTGTTTAGGATTGCCTTGGCTATTCTGACTGTTTTCTGTTTCAATATGAATTTTTAATTAGTTTTTTTCTAATTCTGCAAAGAATGTCATTGGTAGTTTAATAGAAATAGCATTGAGTTTTTTTCTTGTAAATTTGTTTAAGTTCCTTGTAGATTCTGGATATTAGCCCTTTGTCAGATGGATAGATTGCAAAAATTTTCACCCATTCTGTGGGTTGCCTGTTCACTCTGATGATAGTTTCTTTTGCTGTGCAGAAGCTCTTTAGTTTAATTAGATCCCATTCAAGAAAAAAAAAAAAACATCAAAAAGTGGGTGAAGAATATGAACAGACACTTCTCAAAATAAGACGTTTATGCAGCCAACAAACAGTTGAAAAAAGCTCATCATTACTGGTCATTAGAGAAATGCAAATCAAAACCACAATGAGATACAATCTCACACCAGTTAGAATGATGACTATTAAAAAGTCAGGAAACAACAGATACTGTAGAGGATGTGAAGAAACAGGAATGCTTTTACACTGTTGGTGGGAGTGTAAATTGGGTCAACCATTGTGGGAGACAATGTGGCGATTCCTCAAGGATCTAGACCCAGAAATACCATTTGACCTGGCAATCCCATTACTGGGTATATATCCAAAGGATTATAAATCATTCTACTATAAAGACACATGCACATGTATGTATATTGCAGCACTATTCACAATAGCAAAGACTTGGAACCAACTCAGTGCCCATCAATGTTAGACTGGATAAAGAAAATATGGCACATATACACCATGGAATACTATGCAGCCATAAAAAAGAATAAGTTCGTGTCCTTTGCAGGGACATGGATGAATCTGGAAACCATCATTCTCAGCAAACTAACACAGGAACTCAGAAAAACAAACACTGCATGTTCTCACTCATAAGTGGGAGCTGAACAATGAGAACACATGGATATAGGGAGGGGAACATCACACGCTGAGGCCTGTTGGTGGGTGGGGGGCAAGGGGAGGGAGAGCATCAGGACAAATACCTAAGGCATATGGGGCTTAAAACCTAGATGATGGGTGGATGGGTGCAGCAAACCCCCATGGCACATGTATACCTATGTAACAAACCTGCACGTTCTGCACGTGTCCCAGAACTTAAAATATAATAAATAAATTTTAAAAAGTAATAGCATTGAATCTGTAGATTACTTTAGGAAATATGGCCAATTTAATAATATTGAATATTGCTATTCATGAGCATAGAATATTTTTTCCATTTGTTTTTGTCATCTCTGATTTCTATGCACAGTTTTTTGCAATTCTCTTTGTAGGGATCTTTTACATCCCTGGTTTGCTGCATTTATACATGTTTAATTCTTTTTGTAGCTATGGTGAAAGGGATTGTGTTCTTGATTTGCTCTCATCTTGAACATCATTGATGAATAGAAATGCTACTAATTTTTGTACATTGATTTTATTTCCTGAAATTCTGCTGAAGTTCTTTATCAGATCTAGAAGCTTTTGAGCAGAGACTATGGGGTTTTTGGCATAGAATCACAACATTGACAATCAGAGATATTTTGACTTCCTCTCTTTCTATTTGGATGTGTTTTATTTCTTTATCTTGCCTGATTGCTCTGGCCAAGACTTCTAGTACTATGTAGAATAGAAGTGGTGAGAGTGGCATCTTTCTCTTGTTTTGGTTCTCTAGGGGAATGCTTCCAGCTTTTTTCTTATCAGTGTGATGTTGACTGTCATTTTGTCACAGATTGCTCTTATTATTTTAATGTATGTTCCTTCAATGGTTAGTTGGTTGAGGGTTTCTAACATGACGTACTGTTGAATTTTATTGAAAACCTTTACTGCATCTATTAAAATGATCATGTGTTTTTGGTTTACTTGTTCTGTTTATGTGATGAATCACATTTATTGACTTGCATATGTTGAACTAAATTTGCATCTCAGGGGTAAAGCCTACTTGATTGTGGTGTATTAGATTTTTGATATGCTGCTGGATTCAGTTTTCTAGTATTGGGTTGAGTATTTTTGCATCTATGTTTCTCAAGAATATTTAAGTTTTATTTTTATGTTGTTTCTCTGCCAAGTTTTGATATCTGGATAATGCTGGCCTTATATGAGTTAAGGAGGAGTCTCTTTACCTCAATTATTTGTAATAGTTTTAGTAGGAATGGTACCAGCTCTTTTTATACATCTGCTAGAAATTCACTGTATCTGGCCCTGGGCTTTTTCTGGCTGGTAGACTTTTTATTACCGATTCAATTTTGGACCTCCTTATTAGTCTGTTTAGGGATTCAATTTCTCTCTGATTCAATATTGGGAAGTGTAATTTTTAGTAGCCTCTGAAAGTTTTTTTTTTTTTAATTTCTGTGGGTTTGATGGTAATGTCCTCTTTAACATTTCTGATTGTGTTTATTTGAAACTTTTCTCTTTTTTTCTTCTTGGGTAATGTGATACCTCCATCTTTGTTCTTTTTGCTTAGAATTGTATTCTCTAGTCTACTTAGTTGTCTATCAGTCTTATTTATTCTTTCAAAGAAAAAAGTTTTAGATTTGTTGATCTTTTGTATAGTTTTTCCTATCTCAGTTTTCTTTAGTTAGACTCTGATTTTGCTTATTACTTGTTTTCTGCTAGTGTTGGGTTTTAATTGCTCTGGTTTCTCTAGTTCCTCTAACTGTGATTGTGATGTTTAGTTATAAATTTAAGATCTTTCTAACTTTTTTTATGTGGGCATTTAGTACTAAAACTTCCCTCTTAATACTTCTATAGCTGTGTTGCAGAGACTCTGATATGCTGTATTATGGTTATTAGTTTCAAATAATTTCTTTGTTTCTACATTAATTTCATTGTTCACCAAATAGTCATTCAGGAGCAAGTTGTTACATTTTCCTGTTAATTGTATGGTTTTGAGAAATATTCTTTGTACTGATTTCCATCAAAAGTGTGCTGGGTATGATTTTTTTTTCAATTTGCTGAGAATTGTTTTATGGACAAAAGTGTGGTTGATTTTAGAGTATGAACCGTGTGTAGATGAGAATGCATATTCTGTAATTTTTGATTGGTGAGTTCTGTAAATGTCTGTTAGGACCAATTGGTCATGTGTTGAGTTCAGGCCCTAAATATCTTGGTTAATTTTCTGCCTTGATGATATGTCTAACACTGTCAGTGGGGTGTTGAAGTTTTATACTCTTATTGTGCAATTATCTAAGTTCCTTTGTACATCTCTAATAACTTGCTTTATGTATCTCGGTACTCCTGTGTTTGATGCATATATATTTAGGATACTTAGATCTTCTCATTAATGTCAACCCTTTACTATTATCTAATGATCTTCTTTGTCTTTTTTATTGTTGGTCTAAAGTCTCTTTTGTCTAAAATTATAGTAACCCCTGCTTTTTTCTGTTTTCTATTTACTTTGTAGATTTTTCTCCACCCCTTTACATGGAACTTATAAATACCATGGTTTGTGTTGTGTGTCTCTTGAAGACAGCATACGATTTGGTCTTGCTTCTTTATGTGACTTGCCACTCTGTGCCTTTTAAGCAGCATTTAGTCAATTTAGTTTTTGGTTGTAAAAGTTAATATTGATATGTGTGGAGCTGATACTGTTATCATGCTGTTAGCCAGTTATTATGCATATTTGATTGTGTGGTCACTTTATAGTGTCACTGGTCTATGTACTTAAGTGTGCTTTTGTGGTGGCTAGTAACAGTCTTTCCTTTCCATATTTAGTCCTCCCTTAAGGACCTCCTTTAAGGCACGTCTGGTGGTGATACATTACCTTAGCATTTTCTTTTCTGGAAAGAAGTTTACTTTTTATTTGCTTATGAAGTTTATTTGGGCTGGAAATAAAATTTTTGGTTGAATTTTTTTTTTTTTAAGAATGCTGAATATAGGCCCACAATCTTCTGTGGCTTGTAAAGTTTACACTGAAAGGTCCACTTTTAGCCTTATTAGGTTTCATTTGAAGGTGACCTTTCCCTTATGCCTAGCTGCCTTTATCATTTTGTAAAAAATGTCTACCTTGGAGAAACTGATATCTATTTGTCTTGGGGATGCTCATCTTGTATAATATCTTTCAAGAGTTCTATGCATTTCCTGAATTTTAATGTTGGCCCTTCTAATAAGGTTGGGGAAATTTTTATAGATGATATTCTAAAATATGTTTTTCAATTTGCCTGCTTTATCTCTCTCCCTTTTAAGGATGCCAATGTGTTGTAGATTTGGTCTCTTTACATAATCTCATATTTCTCACAGGTTTTATCCATTCTTTTTTAGTTTTTTTTTTATTGGTTCATCTGACTGAGTTATTTTGGAGAACCAGTCTTTGAGCTCTGAGATTCTTTCCTCAGCTCCATGAAGTCTGCTGTTAATATTTATGATGATACTAGGAAATCCTTGAAGTGCATTTTCAGCTCTATCATATCAGTTTGGTTCTTTCTTAAAATGGCTGCTTTGTCTTTCAGTTCCTGTATCATTTCATTATATTTCTTCAATTCCTTGGAGTTTCAACTTTCTCCTGGATGTTGATGATCTTCTTTCCTATACACATTCTAATTTCTATTTCTGCAATTGCAGCAATTTCAGCCTGGTTAAAAACCATTGCTGGGGATCTACTGCAGTTTTTTGGAGGCTGTAAGACCCTCTGGCCTTTTTAGTTTACAGAGTTCTTGTGCTGGTCTTTCTCATCTGTGTGGGATGGTGTTTCTTCAGTCTTTCAAGTTTCTGTCGTTTGGATGTTTTTGTTGTTGTTTTTGCTTTTATCTTTTTTGAAGCCCATGAGGGTTTGATTGTGGTATAAAGTGAGTTCAGTTGACTGGGTTTGTTTCTGGAAGATTTTAGAGGGTCAAGGCTCAGCTCATCACTTCTGCTCTGCATGATTTAAATCTGGGATGATGGTATCAGGCTGTGACTTTGTTCTCTGGCCCCTCAGTTTTAGGAACTTACTGGGTTGGAGGGGCCAAATTGTTCCTGTTCCATTGGCTATCACACTGTGTTGGGTGTTTCCAGCCAAAGCACTTTTTCAGGGCTGTAGCAGCAGGATCAATGCTTGCTCATACATGCCAGCAGGCATAGCAGTGCAGAGGAGAACATGCACATTAGCTGGGGTGGGGTTAAATTGGCAGCTTTAATATTTCTACATAGCAAACATTTTTTCTTTTTACTTAACTAGATGTATAAATATATGTGTAATATATCTGCAAATACCATTTGTTAAGATATATTTAACTTTTATTAAAAAGTCAATATCTAATAAATAAGATTTTTCAATATCTTAAATCTTTAATAAAATAATCTTGTTTTTATCAAATATTATTTATGGCTGCATTATTGCTCACAATAAAGCCAGACATTATTGACAACTATTTATTGAGCACCTTCTATATGTTATTTAATTAATCTACAGTGCTTTAAAAATTCAGAGCCATTAAATTAAATAGCTGAAATTAAGTAGCATGTCTTTTCTCAAATATAAAACATAGTGAAATAATAAAGATAATTTTTTTTCTAGTTAACTTTTTCAGGTTAATATGATTTATGTAACACATACTTTCTGAGTATACACAAGGTCCTAGGCATTGTAAAGAAAGGAAGTAAGTACAGCAGATGAAATGAATAACTAATTGAGGGCTTCCAGGTGACTTCACAAGAGAAAGGACCTATTAAGCTGTATTTCTCTCCAACTTTACTGAGGTGTGATTGACAAATAAAGATTGTATATATTTAAGATGTATAACATGATGTTTTGGTATACATATACATTGTAAAATTATTGTTACAATCAAACTAGTTAATATATCCATCAGCTCACAGTTATACTTTGTGTGTGTGTGGCGAGAACAATTGAGATCGAGTCTTAGCAAATTTCAAGTATGCAATACACTAATTAACTATAATCATATGGTGCACATTTGGTCTCTAAAATTTATTTACCTTGCAACTGAAAGTTTGTATACTTTGGCCAAAGTTTCCCCATTATTCTCACACCCCAGGCCCAAGTAACCTGATTTTGCCAAGTTCTGTATCCAGGTTTTCCTGTATCTGGTTAAGCTTCCTTAAAACTATTATTTTGAATTATTTACCAATCAAATTCTAGATCTCAATTCCTTTGAAGTTTGTTACTGGGTGATTATTATGTTCTTTGAAAGGCAGCTATGCTCACCACTTTACCACCAGTGCCATTTATTGTGTTTCTTTGGTGTTGTCATGTTTCCTTGATTTTACCTGTTTCTTGAAATCTTCTACTGCTATCTTCCCATTTGAAGAAGCAGTCACCTCTTTACTGACTGGCTTTAGAAACAAAAAATGCCTTTACCAGTAAGTCTTGTCAGGGATTCTGAAGTTTTCTCACACCTTTTCTGTGAATATGTCTGTTCTACACCTCTTATTTATTCTTGGTGGTGGGGGAAGGATTCTTAAGATTGTGTACCTTCTCCCTATTCTGCAAAGCCAGGACAGATGCTGAGAGTCTCTTATTGGTTTTCCATAGAGTGGTCCCCTAAAATATTCAAGTTTGTGTGTCTTCTTCCAATCACACAGTGTCAAGTTTGCTGTGTACAAGTGCTCACAAGCCATTTTCGGAGGCTCACATATACTGTCTGTGGAAATGAACATGGGGAGCAAGCCACATGTTTGAGGGGCAGAGTGTGAAGTGAGTGGAGCTTTGGGGTGCCTTTGGACCACTTGGGGGGGTCTCCAGGTAAGGGTCATAAGTGGGCTTTCTGTTTAAGTCTATGAAGCAGTTTGTAGAATTTATGACTGTTTTTGAAATTCCAAGCCCTGGTTGCTGTGAGTTTCTGCCTCCCTTTTCTGCTTCCAGCCTTTCCCAACCACTCAGTCATGCTGATCACCTCAGTACTGAGTGAAGCAAGTAAGAATGCTTGCCCTCTTGAGCAGTATACCACCTGGCTTGGAAGCCAGATGCTCACTGTCTAG